>NW_003571036.1:0-226852 GCF_000001405.40 Homo sapiens
AAGCTTGAGTGTCTTTCTAAAAATATTGAAGTTCCTCTCCAGCATTTGAGATTAGCCAAAGCCAGCAGGGATATCCACGTGGGGCAGTGCAAGCCCAGACCTGGATCCATAATAGAGCTCTCTGACACTGTGTCTCCATATATAGGATCCAACAGATTTCCCAACACAGTCCCAGAATTATGTTTTTGGGGTTGTCCCAGTCAAAGTCCCAACACCAGGCCCAGTTCCAGAAGGGAAACCTGGTAAAATGATTGTTTGAATTCCACGGCCAGAACAGAATGTCTTTCATGAAGCTGCAGAAAATTAGCTGCATAAATAGTGCCGAAATAATGAATTTAGATGACTTTTACTCATGTCAGACACGAGAAGAGATGAGGATTCTGGATTACCTAAAGACCACCTCCGACTTGTGGTCTCAAGTCATGTGTATGGGTCCTTTCACTGGGTTTTCCTGGTCCATGTTCCCACTGAGGTGCTGCCTCTGGTCTATAGCTCCTGAAAGCAACAAGATCAGGGAAATACTTTATTTACCTTGTACACACTCTCTATCCACTACTGACATCCGGTATGGTCATTCAATCCCGTCTAGTATCAGGAGGTCTTCTGTGGTTGGTCACATCAATCACATCTGCAATTTGACAGAATCAAAGAACCATTCTGATTCATGGTTTTCTCCAATCAGGGCTATCTTTATGAATTTGCAACCTGTGCAATATCTCAGAGCACTTCTTTGCAAGGGTCTCATTCTTGATTTAATTCTCTGCTATTGCTATCTTACAGTTTAGTGTAATTGTTTTAACAATAGTCCTTCATTTTTGTTTTTCACTGGATCCTGCATGTTATACAGCCTATCCTTCCTCTGACTGAGAAGGTAACAACATGATCTCCCAAGCAGGTCTTAAGCTTTCCTGGACATGTGGCAAGCATTCTAGCACAAATTAGAATGTTCTTTTCACCTACTCCATGCACTCCTAGTTTGTTCTGCATGCAGATAGAAACATGTGGAAGGTAATGATGTGGTCAGTATTGAAAGAGATCACATTCTAGAAGTGTAATGATTGTGGCCTAAGAGTTCTCCTAGTCAATGCATTTGGAATACATATAGCTCTACATTTCTGTTATAAAATTTCAAATGCTAAATATAACAAGACCAGAAAGTGAATATGGTTCAAATGTTTCATTTTCTTTCACACTCTTGGTAAGACTAGCATCTTTCATCATCATTAACCCATCTTTCAGAGAGTAATTGGAAGCCAATATTTAGGAGTGGGTTGGTAGATGATGTACGGTCCTGAACAAGGATGCAACCAACATAAAATACACAGCATTAAGAAAATTCAGAGACAATTAGTAGTAAATAGTTTCAATACAAAGAAATCTGTGGAGCCATACAGTTATGAGTCATACAGAATTGCTACATATTCCACTGGGATGAGAGAGAGGAATTTTTCCAGTAACAGCACACTTAACAGTGAAAAACTTGATGAGATGGTGTCTAGATCTAAACAGAAAAACAGCGTGCTTTGATACTACAAATGATCTTCTGAAATATATAACAAATTCTTCTCTTCCTATTTTTCTGAATTTTCATTGATAAATCACTATATCCCACACGGGCCTGTATACTTTGTAAGCATTTTTTAATCAAATAGTTTGTATAGACAAGGGCTACGCAAAAATATATTCTCTTTGTATACCACACACTCTAGTGGTAGTCCTGGACTCTGATATGTTAAATTTTAGAAATGTCAAAATTAAATATAAATTAAAGCTAAAATGTAACCAATTATATTGCATATAAACAAACACGAGTGCACACATAACCCCATTTAGCTATAAAACCAAAAGTTAAATCTATGTCCACTGTGAACAATTTAATAATCAATTTTTCCTATTTCACCACCTCACGCCTACCCCTAAAATGCATGTAACCACAAATCTCTCTGCCAATATGTATTTCTTGCTTAAGTCACAAAACTTCTAGGAATAATATAAATAAAAAGATTTACAGATGTTCAGAACTAGAAACTAGCTGTTGTAATTTTTTTCTGTTCAGTAAATGTGTCAAAAGGAATATTAAATTATATTCAAACTATCTGTATAGAAAATTGTGTTTAATATAATTTTATATGAAATGTAATCCAGGATCTATTGGTTTGAAATATACAGCAAAAACACAGAAAATAAAAAATATTATAGTGTCATACCCAGTAATTAAAATAAATACAGTAATGCATCATTTAATGACAGGGATATGTTTTGAGAAAAGCATTCTTAAGTAATTTTGTCATTGTTGGAACATCATAGAGTATATTTACCCAAAACTAGATGCTAGAGCCTGCTACACACCTCAGCTGTATGATATAGTTTATTGTGCCTAGGCTATTGACCTGTACCATATGTTACTGTACTGAATGCTGTAGGCAATTGTAACACAATGATAAGTATTTTTATATCTAAACACAGAAAAGTTACAGTAAAAGTACAATGTAAAGGATTTAAAATGGTACATCTTTACAGGGTACTTACCATCAGTGGAGTTTATAGGACTGGAAATTGATCTGAATGAGTCAGTGAGTGAGTGGTAACTGAATGTAAAAGGCTAGGACCTTACAGTGTGCTGCTGTAGACTTTATAACACTGGAAAATTAGGCATCACTAAATTCATTTGAAATTCTTATCTTAAAATTTTATTTCTTCAATAAGAAATTAACCTTAGCTTACTGTAATTTTTTACTTTGTAAACCTTTAACTTTTTTAACTTTCTTGACTTTTTGTAACAACACAATTTAAAACGCACATTGTACAGTTGTACAAACATTTTCTTCCATTTATTCTCATTCTATAGTTTTTTAAAATTTTTGTTTATTTTTTAAATTTCTTTTTAAAAACTAAGACATAAACACATACATTAGCCTAGGCCTACCTATATGGTCAGGATCATCAATAGAACTATCTTCCATCTCCATGTCTTGTCCCAGTGGAGGGTTTTCAGAGGTAGTAACACCCGAGGAGTTTTCATCCTTGATAACAATGCCTTCTCCTGGAATACCTCCTGAAGGACTTGCCTGAGGTTGTCTTACAGTTACCTTTTTTTTAAGTAGAAGGAGTATACTCTAAAATAATAAAAAAAAATGTGGTAAGATGTATAAACTAGTAACATTGTTGTTTTATCATTATAAAGTATTATGTAATATAAATAATTGTATATGTTATACTTATATGCAACTGGCAGGGCAGTATGTTTGTTTACACAAAAAACACAAGTACTGCATTGCACTAGGCAATAGGAATTTTTCAGCTCAATTATAATCTCATGGGACTGCCACCATATATGCGGCACATGACTGTATTGAAATTTGTGCCTAATCTAGTATTCTTAAGTTTGTATTTTTTTAAGTGTGCTTCTAAAATTATATAAACTTCAAGCCCTCTAAAACCTAGATCATACATGGCTGGTGGTATGTCAGTTGACTCCAAGATTCAAAGGGGCCCACCAACTTTTTACTTCTTTCTTCAAGGTGGGTAGTTTGAGGAGAACACTTTGTCTCTTACTTAAAAATGGAGTTAATGGGTGCAGCAGACCAACATGGCACATGTATACATATGTAACAAACCTGCACGTTGTGCACATGTACCCTAAAACTAAAGTATAATAATAATAAAATAAAATAAAAATAAAAAGATATGATTTAAAAAAAAATAAAAAATAATAAAAAAGAAATAAAAATGGATGCCCAGATTACTAGATTCCTAGAAAGCTTACCAATGTTCTAGGTCTCAATTTTCTTGAGGTATACCTACTATCTTTTGGCATGTATCTGAATTACTTAGTCATCTACAATTCTTACTACTCCAGGCTTACCATGGAATAATTATCATTATTTTATCAATATAATGAACTAGCGTGACATTCTTTGGGCTATTAAAATAGATCATTTAGCATTATTTGTGCTGTATCATTACCAAGAGCATCACAGTTGGCCTAGCCCTAGGGCAAGAAAACAAAGGTTATGCTGTTTCTGCCATAAGAATGCAAACTACTTCTGAAAATATCCCGTGTTACATGCAATGTATTTGAACCTGTGTTGAATTGTTTCAATAAGGATATGAAGCAACATCAGCAATTATCAATACCACCTGGTTAATTTTGTGATAAATCATTTTCTCAAAGAATTGGCACCTGTCAAACAGGAACATTAAATAGGGATGTTATAGGCATCAACATGACATTCTTTCAAACTGTTGTTGGTAAAAATATTGGTAATTCTCCTGGACAAGTAGTATCATATTTACTCTTAGTTCTGCCTACCGTAATAATCTACATATTATAGTACCTATGCACAGATTCTACCTGTCATGAGGCATACTATTCCACTGTGTTAGAGATATGTGAGAAAAGAAAAAAAATAAAAATAAAAACAGGAGAGGTCCACAGTTCCACTAGACTTATTGTCAGACAGACTTGAGCCAAGATTCTCTCTACTACCTGAAGTTCCGAGTTCTTACTTTGTTCAATGTTCTTCAAATTAACTACCACATAACCCTTTCTGAATTCTACTGTATGAATTAATGAGGGCTTGGCCGTCAGTGTATAGACTATACCTTTATGGTCTAAGCTGTAAACACTTCTGGCTCAAGACATATTGGAATTCAACTTAATTTGGGCCTGTAAGCAATGACATGGGAAGTGGAGAGGAGGTCCTGGAGGATATCTAGTTTCAGATTTTGCTAATGCAGTTTTTGAAAATATTTTATACAATATATAGAGGACTGGTTCCCTCAGATTTAATGGAGTGGGTCTGTTTTCTCAGCCAAAGATGTTTTCAGAAATTTCAAGATTCAGAATTCTCAGTGTCATTCATGTCTACCCGAATATCATTCCCCCATGATACAAAGTTTCAATCTCTTCTTAAAAGTATCTGTTTTTGGGTACTGAGGCACTCAAAAGGTTTACTTCTCTCTGCTATTAAAAGCTGATATCAGCCGGTCGCAGTGGCTCCTGCCTGCAATCCCAGTACTTTGGGAGGCTGAGGTGGGAGTTCAGGAGTTCAAGACCAGCCTGGCCTACATGGTGAAACCCCATTTCTACTAAAAATACAAAAATTAGCTGGATGTTGTGGCGTGTCTATAGTCTCAGCTGCTAGGGAGGCTGAGGCAGGAGAACCTGGGAGGTGGAGGTTGCACTCAGCCGAGATCACGCCACTGCACTCCAGCCTAGGTGACAGAGTGAGACTCTGTCTCAAAAAAAAAAAAAAAAAAAAAAAAAAAACAGCTGATATCTCGGTGGTATCTATTACCAATTATTTACACTTCAATTTTTAGGGTTTTTGAGCTGCAGGTTGAAAGATATTAAATGGGGAAATAAAAACAATTTAATGAGTTTACAAGATATATTTTTATAAAAACAAATAGAGTTGATCAAAATGAGAATATAAGAGAATGTATCATATATAATAAAGTACAATAAGTCCTCACTTAACATCATCAATGGGCTCTTAAAACTGTAACTTTAAGTGAAAAGACATGTAATGAAGTCAATTTTCCAAGAGGCTAATTCATATAAACAAGAGTTAAGTATTTATGGCAAATTTTTGGTGATAAAATATTAAGATCACTACACATCTAAGTAAATACCAAAATACCTCTAATATTAAACATTAAAATAAATATAAGCTACACATACATTTAAGACAAATTAAGACAAAAAAGCTAATTGTTTACCCAATTATTCTAGCTCAGGGTCATGGGTGACCAAAGCCTCTACTGGCAACTAAAGGCACAAGATGGGAATCAGCCCTGGACAGGATGCCATCCCATCACAGGCCTCACCCACACTCATTCAGACCGGGATGTTGCAGAAATGCCATTTAACCTAATATGCACATCTTTGGAATGTAGGAGGAAACAGGAGTCCTTGGAGAAAATTCATGCAGACATGAGGAGAATAGGCAAACTCCACACAGTCGCTGGCCCTGGCTGGAAATAGATTTTATTTTCCTCATAAACATTGTAACAAAACAACATTAAACAAAAAGCCATTAATCTAGGATCTGCTGTACTGCTTTGTTATGTTTTAATATCACACACACACACACACATATACACACACACACACACACATACACAGAGCAGTAAATTTAGCTTTGCCCTAGATATTCATCAGAAGTCAACTATTTAGCTTTTTCTTTCAGGTGAGGATTTTGAAAACTGAATAACCTCCTGTTACAATTTTAATGTTATTTCTAGTATCCTTGAATTTGTGGCATGATCAATGATAATTTGATTGTTTGGAACACCATCACTTCTAATAAACATAATTAGAGACAATTCATTCAATTTAATAAGGTCTAAGTATTCAGTTTTATTGAATGTTTATTCTGAATATCTTAGTTATATTTAGTATGGTTTGTAAAAAACTGATTTATGTTTTGGAATCGTATGTATGAATTGCTTATAGATTATAGGTATTATCGGAAGAATGCAATAATAAATCATGATATTTAATACATCTAATTAGAAACTAATAATGAAATAGTTTTATATAGGTAAATAATTAGGAAAATGTATTTCATGTTATGTAAATAAGAGGGTATGTTAGATAGATACAGTAAATAAGAACAACTGAATGAATAACATTATATAATTTTAAGCCAAAACTATTTATAAACATTTAAATAATATTATAAAGCTAAATAAGATCAATTATATAGCATCATAACTTTAGTTAGCACAGAATTACTTGGTATACTAGTATTCACAAAGTTAACTAAAATAGCCAAGATCCAAAATTACTTTTAAAATTTAGCTATTTAATTCCATTTAGAACATGGGATTTAGAGAAAATTGAAAACTTGTTAAAAAATAACTCAAAATTAACTTAATAGAAAAATAATTAAAATTATATTATTGTTAAAAGAAAAACTTTAGGCAATTAAATTAAACAGAGTTCATTTGAGCAAATAACAGTTTATGAATCAGGCAGCACTCAGAACCGGAAGAGGTTCAGAAAGCTACACCCAGAAGCATGAGCAGCAAATGGAGAAGCAGAGAAATTACCTGATTAGACACAGCTAGATGGCTGCCTTATTTCTGCACAATGTGATGAGGCATTTACCTTACTTGGGCACGTTCTGATGGGAGGTTTCTAGTTGTATAATGAATTGGCTGGTTGATTGGTGGTGACTCGCTGAGGCCCCCTTTTTCTTTTCTTAGTTACAAGAAATGTTTTTTAAGTGAAGTCCTGGTTTTGCTAATATGAGAGCTTCTGCTACAGAGACAATCTCTGTATGTAATGGCCTCCTTCTTATTTACTTTAACACTACCTTGAAACTCACATGGAGGAAAACTTCCAAAGTCATGTTCAATCACATCCATGAAAAATCATCTTCCATCTAGCTGTATTAAAGGTTACAAAACATTTGAAGAAGAGAAATATAAGATATTGAGAGAAATATAAGATAGCTAATACACAATGAACCTTAAAAAAAGATTTTACAAGAGTTCTGTTACAGGATAATTTATAATTTTTATTCTATGGTAACTAACATTTAAATAAATTATTGTCAAAATGACTACTTACTATATCAATGAAAAGAAAGAAATTTGGAGCTATGTCAAGAAATGCCCTGTATTTTTCAATTTGCCTGTAACAAGTTCATCAATACTATCCACAAACTCAAATACAATAGTTTATCTTAGAGCTTCTTTTCTTCAACTTATTGTAAATATTACATATAGTTGATTATTTCTCCTTGATATTTTTTTCTGACTTGATTTTTGGGATCACACATACATTACATTTTTTTCTTTTCTTTACTGGTCTCTATTTCTGAAGGTCCTTTGTTTAATCTTAGTTTGTCTCTTACTAACACAACATATATTACTCATTGGTAAATTCTTAAACTTAAAAAAAAAATCTTTCAAACTTTATACCATCAGCTTTATGCCCCACACTAGCCAAACCTACCATTATCTTTTGCCTGTGCTGCAATAAACTACAATGAGTACCTCTTCAACTCTTGCCTCCATCACATTTCCCAAGCATTAACGTGTTTTAAGCAGAAAGAAAAAAGTAAAATACACTTTAAGCAGTAAAGAAAATTACACTTTACTTAAAAGTAAAATACACTTTAAGCAGAAAGAAAAAAGTAAAATAGTATTAAGCTCCCTGTTGTGGAAGTCCGAATTGAGACAAATTTGGATGAGGGAAACAAGATGGAGAACAATTTACATAGGCAGGCGAAAGCTGATAAAGATTAAAATTAATATCCATGAAAAGAGACAGGCAGAAAAGAGAGGATGTTGCTGTAGTCTGAAGATTGTGTCCTCCCAAAGTTTATATTTTAAAACCTAATCCTCAATGTGGTAGTATTAAGGGGTGGGGCTTTGGGGAGGTGATTAGGTCATGAAGGCTGAGCTCCGTAAATGGGATTAGTTATTTTACAAAAGAAGCTCAGAGGGCTCTTATTCTTCCCTCTGCTGCATGTGGATGCCACAGAAGGTGCTGTCTATGAGGAAGAGAACCCTCACCAAACAGCAAATCTGTTGATGACTTGAACTTGCACGTCCTAGTCTCCAGAACTGTGAGAAATAATTTTGTTTCTCGTAAGGTACCCAGTTTATGACATTTTTGTAAAGCAACCTGAACAGATTAAGACAAATGGTGATGACAAAATATAATCAACATATCTTGATAAATAAATAATTGGTTATAAACCCTCAGGGTGAAGAAAGTAATATAACGCATTTCTATTTTATGTAAATGCATTGATGATAGTATAAGAGAGGTATTGCAGGACATACAAGTTTGTTGAAATAGATAAAAATATGAATATAGGTAACTGCAACATATTGAAAAGATATTTGAAAGTAAGGAAATAAAATCAGTAAATAAAGAATGACATTCAGTGAATTTTGTAGTGCTGGGCATTTACACCATATTCTATTTATCTTAAACTGGAAGAGATTTGAACTTGACTTTAGTTTGAGGAAAATTTGTAAGCAGAAAAACTGAAAGATGCAGAAAGAAGAAGTTTGGAGAAAAAACAGGAAATAGAGGTTTGAACACAGATAACGGGATTAACCTCTAAAAAGAGAGGGATTCTATTCCTCAGAGATATAAGACAATGATCTGAAGTTGGCTTCATATGATGGAGATAAGATTACTATGATCAGGCCAGGAATTCCAGGGGTTTCCTATAAGAAAACCTCAATTTTCTCTGAAAATACTGCTTCATAGGGTAAGGATATTTTTAAAAATTAGTCTTTTTAAAAACAGCAAGAATTAAAAGTAATTTTAATTTCTTAGATACAGTATGAAACAGTGGTAAATGAGAATCTACCTGGAATTCCAAAATCAAATATTTACCCTAAAATCTACATTTCACATAGACAAAAAGCAATGGAGAAAAAATTGCTTATTATCAGTTATTTGAAGTGTGTATGTATGTAGATGAAAGCAGAAAAATAGCAACTCGAGCATCTGGAGTTATATTTTGCATCTTACATCTTCAAAAATTCTATAATTATTCTAACTCCATTGAAAGCATCTAATTAATTGTGCATCATGAAAATGTTGATATTGTAAAAAGCAATAAAATCTACGAAAAGCATTAATGTCAATGATCACTTTACCTACATTTCCCTGTAATAATAAATTGGTTTAATTACTGAATAAACACAGATAGTTTATACCTCAGTTTTTAAAAGTCACTTTTACTTCAGAAGATAGATTGCTAACTAGTATTCCTGACACAGAAACAAGGCTTTTATTCACCGTTCTTCTTTACAAATATTTTTGCTGCTGTGTTTACTAAACAGATGGGTAAAATTATTTGCTTTTTAAAAACTACTCATCTTACCAATATCTTTTGTTTAGTTTTTCAAGGACAGGTGTTAAGAATGTGCTTGTAAAATTTTTGTTCAAAATCTTACTTTTAAAAAATGTTTGCCTTCGTGAATACTAAACATAATTTAGGCTATATGGGAGGCTGTTCCTTTTTTAAAAATTAAAATATATGAGGACATACTTTTAAGATGTGTGGCAATAAAATCTAGAAGCTAAATATGTCTTTGTTACAGACTTTCTACTGATGTTTAAACTAACTAAAAGTACTTTAGAAGTTTGTTTTCTCTCTGTCAGAAACATTAAGGTGTATCGTTGTGTCCCCAACTTATCTTTATTATTTTCTCAGTGTAGCATAAGGAGATATAGAGTATCTTATAATTGAATATTTTCTTGATATAGCAAGCATGTTATTTAACCAGGTCGTAGTATCATCACTAACCAATGAAAAATAACTCTTACATATAAGAAGTATATTCAAGGACAAGGTTGTATTTTAAATCTTATTTGAACAATGAGAAGACATGGACATAGGGAGGGAACATCATCACACAGCAGGGCCTGTCGGGGAGTTGGGGGCAAGCAGAGGGAGAGCATTAGGACAAATATCTAATGCATGCTGGGCTTAAAACCTAGATGATGGTTGATAGGTGCAGCTAACCACCATGGCACATGTATACCTATGTAACAAACCTGCACGTTCTGCACATGTATTCCAGAACTTACAGTAAAATTAAAAAAAAAATACAGAAATCTTTTGCTAAGAATATACTTTTTCTGCAAGTGTCCTTCCTAACTTCCTTCTTAGAAAGAGAGAAGCAGAAATATTCCTTGGTGATAAAATCAAATAATTAAAGTATTCTCAATGAAGGGATATATGCTTTAAATTTGTAGGAATTAAAATGAAATATCAGATATGGCCCTTGATCTAAAGGAGATGAAAATCTAGGTGAAACAATCTGTTTTATTTACACATCAAATAACAAGATGATTATTATAATTTATGTACCCAAGTAGTTTCCACTAACAGAATGTAAGATAGTTGTCCTTGGCTTTGAGGAACTCGGGATCATTCCAGAAGCAGACAGTAGATACACTCCAGGGAGGGAAACAAGCAAACAAACAAACAAACAAACAAACACCACAACCACTCTTTTACCAAATGCAATTTTTTTCTAGTGTTATACAGAAGGTAATGGATTAATACGGGGATGTCCGAGAGTGCCACAATTCCTTGTCACCTTTACCCTTGGTAAGCCAAAAATATTCTGTTCTCCCATGACGCATCACAGACACGGTGCAGCTTTTGGTGGAGGGATTTTACCATGTCAGAGTGGCTTCTGACTGCACTCAAACGCTCAGAACAGGGTTCTGTAGGATCAACATCCTCCCTGCTTTTAAACCACAGCCTATTAATTGCATACAGTCAAAGAGCCTAAAATTTGGATGATTCAGGAATCTGTTTTTATCCTAATAAGGTTGACGATGGAGGTGGATAGGATGGCCGACACTGTACATGGATCTTGAGCTGAGTAAACTGGCTTATGTTATACTCCACAGTTAGTGTTTGAGGATATGTTCTGGTGGCCAGACACAATTATCCTCTGACCTCAACCTTTCCAGAGTCCAATTAGCTTTTATTATATATATTAGTCCGCTAAGATTACCATAACAAAATATTACAGACTGGATGACCTATTCAACAGAAATCTATTTTCTCACAGTTCTGGAGGCCAAAAGTTCAAGATAGAGGTGTTGACAAGTTTGGTTTCTACTGAGACCTGGTGCATTGGCTTGCAGATGGCTGCCTTCTTGCTGTGTTCTCACATGACATTTTCTCTGTGTACATCCACATCCCTGATGTCTCTTCCTCTTCTTATAAGTACATCAGTTCTATTGGGTTAGGGCCCACCCTTATGACATCATTTAATGTGGGTTACCTCTTTAAATGCCCTATCTCTAAATAAAGTTACAGTAGGGGGTTAGGACTTCAACATAAGATCCTTGGGGCGGACAAAATTTCATCTATAATGGTATATTTGCATGATTCATCACAAGAACCAGTAACTTACTTCGAGTTACCTTATTACCAAAAAAGCAACTCAAAATCCAGTATATTTTCAGTTAAAAATTGCTGGTATTTTTTTCTGCTAAAACACAAACTTAAAATCTAAACCATACCAACAGAAAGTTCATTTATTTGCCTAAAATATATAACAATTGCTCTCTTTTCCCATTTTGCAGATAAAGGGAATCACACATATGTCTTTGTTAGGTAGCCGCTATGTATAATACTAGGTTTTATATAATAGCATATATTACTCTCAAATGAAGTGACCTAGACAATTATTATTCCTGAACTCCAAAAAAATAGGCGAGATTTGTTTACTACTGTGGACTAGAATTTCCAGAGCTGGCATTGCAGGCTGAATCACAAGCAGAAGCCCAGTGTGAGTGATACGTGATTCCTTCTGGTCTTTCAGTATTAGTAACGAGGATGTTCTTACTGTCACATCTACAGATTGAGAGAAACTCTCTGTGTACTTGTTTGTCTGGATACATTAAAATATAGAGCACAAAGGAGATTAGCTGAGATAATCACATGAAGCTAAAGTCATTTTCAGCCCTCATAATTTTAAGAACGGAAAATGGCATGCTATGTCAGGATATATGAAAACAACACACAAAAAAACACAAATGTTTGTTATGGCACCAAAACTTCAGAAAAGACAGAACACTTACATAAAGATAAACCATGAATCATACAAGTTTTTACAGAGATATTATTAGGCAAATCAGAATATGTATGACTATGAGAGATAATAAGTAGATAATAGTTTTATCCAGCTTTTTTCTATTGTATTCCTAGTCATGTAATATTTTCAACTTCAGTGAATACTTAAAGTATAGATCAAAGTAGTTTATTTATCATATTATATGATCAAAATATGATTAGTAAAATCTTAGTTTTTACGGACAAATTTAAAATGTACCAATCTCATGATATGTTGTAAAGCATCGTCCTGTGTAAATATTTTTATTATAGAAAGACTTTGGGTATAATGTAAACATAATTTCATACAGAATCTTAGGGCATTGCATACAACAGTACTACTCTTCCAGACTAGTAGGTAGATACACTGTTTCTCTCATACCTCTAGTGTCACAAGTCCTAAAAGCCATTCACTCTGTCACCAATGCACAATTTTTTCATAAGAATTTTAATGTTGTTCATTTCTACTTTTTGAATATACAAAATAATATAGCCAGGGGAATAGCTTTTGGATAGTGTAATTCAAACTCCACTGCCTTAATTCTTCCTTGTTCTCCTCTCTTTGACAATGTAAATAATTTACTTTACTTATATTGTTACATGGAAAGATTTAAGGTATTCATTTATTATAATTTATTAAAATACCGTCTCCCACATATATCTATATCTATATAGATATAGATATATAAACATATCCTCAAGCTCAGAGATGCTTTACTCAAACCAATTTCTTACTGCTATAATTTTTTTTGAATTTCTTATATACTGTTCTACCTCCTTTGTGATCCTTATTCTATAACATTAGATTGTCATACACAATAAATTATAAGGCAAATTGAAGTACTGCAACAGTCTAATTCAATGTGCAGCTGCACTTGAGGACATCTCTACTATCTTTTTTGACAATGAAAATTTATTGGCTCTTTCAAAGACAGTTTCAGTTTCAGTAAGTAAAGACTGAGACTAATATTAAACTAAGAGTATGATTAACTGAACTTCCATGTAAAAATAAGATCATATTCAATTCATTACTTCTTGAATACATTTTTAGATAAGAAAAACACAAAGGTTTTGGTTTGTATTTTTCACAAATTATCTATCTTTTTAAAGGTTAAAAAATAAAACTAATCCCATTCTTTTCTGTCATGGTGGTGCATATGATAATAGCATGTATGGAAAATAATCTCTTGTATAGCTATGCCTACCTCTCATATACTATATATTAAGTAATGTAATTAATACCATATTTTGAATATTTTACAATTGTAATTTGAATTACTTCTGAATTCATTAATTAGATAGATGTTTTTATTTATTTTTTAAATCTGTCCAGTTAATCAGTTTTGTTTATAACAGTGTTCTTTATTTTATTGTATTGCATTTAGAGAATGTGGTCTTTACCATTACTGTCTTTGAGAATTAATTCAAATTAATTTATCTAAACTCAGAGACATGTGCTCTCTGAAGTAGGTAACCACATTTTAAAATTATTATTTTCTACTATTATATGTATGAATAAAGTGTCCATATATGTATGATATATATCATCTCTCTAATATATGGGTACTTATCTGGTAAATCTTAAGCTAATGTATCCCTCTCAAGATAAAAGTTTATCAAGTTTGCCTTGCTCAGTTCTACCTTTTTAATGCAGAAGATTAATTGTTCTTATTGTTTATTAGTATCTAGCTACAATGAAAATGTGAATACATGCTGCCTAGTGTAGGTTCACTGGTCATGAAAAGGAATTTTTTCCTCTAGTATTTTGAAGTTAGAATTTGATGATATGTCTTAATAAACACTGTTGAAAATATTATTAGGATATTATGCTGGATGTGACTCACCAATATCTATTTGAGGTTTCCCACAAATTGGTAGGACCTAAACAAAAACAGAGATTCCCATTGACACACCAAAACTTATCCCCTATACCTAATAACTTGGTAGACTCAAGAAGTCAGGCTCACTGAACTACTCCTCACTGATGCTAGTATCTAAAGCTGAGGCTATATTCTCTTTGCTTATCACAGTAAACTAGAATTTCTACAAGATTTATGTGGTAGAGTACTAGATTCTGCCAAGGTACAAGGCCATCTTGTGAGGAACTCTTTTATTTTTAATTTGTTGTATATTTCTGATAAGTGAACAATAGCTAAATAATGGAACAGGTATTAGTATTGATATGTGCTAATGTTATAAGGAGAACAATCTTACCAAATGTATTAATACGTAAAACAAATTATCAAAATTCATGGCCCACAGCTAAATTCCTCCATGCTTCTTCCTCTCCCCAATTCCTTCCTTCTATGTGAGGACCTTAGCCCATCACACAAACACCTTGGCTAAGCATCTCCTTGTAACAGTAATTCTTAGGGAGACATCAAAATTTTCTAGCACCATAAAATATTTTCAGTTCTTAAAAAAAGCGAAGTGTGTGTCTAGAGAGAACTTAACAACTGACAGAGTGTTTTATGAAGAGCAACTTGTTGAGAAGAAAAGGATGACTGCTGGTTTGTGATTTCTTTAAAGTTTACTCACATTTGTAGAGCCTGAAGGGGACTGTGTAAAGAAGATAAAATAAAAGCTTGGATGCCACACAAGATTAACTTGGCAATCGAGATAAGAGCATTTAATCAATGGCAAACCAGCTTCACGGGAACAGATCAGATCACAGTGACTGGAGGGAACTGCACAAAGCCCATGAATGATTGCTATTTACCTTTCGAGAACAATGACAGTCATATTTTTGCATTTTGATAGCTACTTTGATCATAAGTTTCCCAACTCTTAGCATATTTTAAGATATTAAACCTTCTAAGATAGATATGACTTCAATCAGAATTTTATAAAGGATAGGCTGCATGGATTTCTGTTGGAGAGAATGCAAGATGAGTCGAGATTAGAGATACTTTTGAAAACATCCCACAGCTCAACCCTCGTGGAGTACAGGCTTATATTTTATGTAAAAGCCAAGAGAGTTTCAAGATAATCAGAATCCTTACTAGACATTAATGATACTTCCACACAGACAGAGATGTTGAAGTTTTATTGTACGTGGGATGCTGTGTATTAATCGCTATAAATATATCATAAGTCTTAAGGCAATAAATACCAATAGTAGTAGCATAGGAGTAAAAAATTGCAGGCATAATTGCAAACGTCATTCTTTTGTATGCCATAAGTCATTATATGCATATATTATGATAAATTAGGCATTGGTATGTGTAGTAATTATATACTAGTAGTTATTAGTTGTGATAAATAGTTAATACAGGTATATGAGTAAAGATTTATTAATATCTCCTTCTTAAAAAATATTTCTCACATACTCATAATTGCAAATAAATAAATTGTTCCTCATTATAAATATATGACATGCACCAAGGCATTTAAAATATATAAGAAAAACAATTATTCTTAATAAGGCCTTAAACTGGGTTAAGAAGGAAAAAGCATGGTATGGTGGGAAAAAAAAGTTTTAGTTTAGTTTTTCTACTAAATGGCTAAAAAGTTATAGATGAGTAGATAGAAAGAGATACATTTCCTCCTTTCTAATAACTTCAATTAGGGACAGAGTTTATATGCACTGTTTTTCATTTCAGGCTATGTATGAAGGAAACCAAAAATATGCTCAAAATGTACTTCCTTGACATATTTCAAGATGGTCATTCAGAGAAGCTAAAAACACAGGAATAGCTGAAAAGTTGTCCCACGTAGAAGAGATTTGCCTGCAGAAGAAATTAACAACAGATACATACAGGCCTTCTCTGAAGTCCCTCTTTGGTCTAGGAAAGATTATCTCATAGAAAAAGAAGACAAAAGGTCTGACTGAGAAACTGTTACCACAGACTGCCATATTTCCTTTCTGAGAGCTGCTACATGTGACCTTTTCTGTCCATAACAAGACCACCTTTGCTCCATGCCTTTCCTCCACTTCTCCATCCTGTAACTTCTCTTGTCATTCTCCAAGTCCATACTTATTCTGTAAACTCTGGATGATTAAAAAAAAAAAAAAAAGTTAGGTCATCTGGTCCTTTCTTTGAGTTTTCCTATTTTTTATGACTGCTATGGACATGAGTGCATGTAATCAATGTGTGTTCCTTTTTTCCCCATTGATCTATTATCAGTTTGTTTTATAGGCTCAAAGTATCAAACTTTCAGAAGTGGGGAAAATTCCCTTTGCCTCTACAGTTCAGCATAGTCAGCAGGATGAAAAATTTGAAGACCTCAATTGGGATCCTTGGACAACTGACTACAGGCTGGCAAAAAGCGCAAGATTTCTTTCCAAAAGTCAGCTCCCCAGATCTCTCCCTGTAACACTTGGTCTAACAAGAGTAGTACAAGTCTTTGTCTTTTTCCCTTTCCAAAATTGGATTAACAAGAAAAAAAGTATGTGAACCGAGTTTGCTTATAAAATAAATTGGCTACGTTTAAAATAATACTTTTTAGAGAGCTCTCATCTTAAATAGCTACCTGATTGACACCTGTAAAAGATACAATAGAAACTCTGTTGGCAAGATTAGGGGAAAAAAGTGTAAATCAAATTTAAAACAAAATTAAAATATTTTGTATGCTCAAAATGCCTGATTTGAATCCCCTGAAGGGCTCATAAAAGAAAATGCTATACATAGTCTAGTGGTTAAGATTCCATTCCTTTACTATTGTGGCCAGTGTTTGATTCTTGGTCAGGGAACTAGTTCTCTGGTGGAAGAAAAAATAAGGCCTTTATAAGACTAATTTTATAGAACCAATTATCAAAACTTCGGAAGGATGGGAAAGGAAATTCTCTTTACTTCTACATGTATAATACATTTAATTTCCCTTAGCTAATCTCTGGGGAAATGGATCTTCACTCTGCCCTGATTTGCCTTGAGTACAGCATTTTTGTACAAATGTGCGTCCAAAAATAGTACTATTTACCTCCAGTTATTAGAACATGTGCTTTGGCTTTATGAATTATTTTGACTGATAGATGTATCCCATTCTTTTATCATTTCATCTTTCTTATGATGAAAAAATAATGTTTTTTAAGTTTTATAGAATGAGGAGGATAATGAATTAGTTAAATGATCTACTGCACACCTAAACTCTTAAGTCTCATCAATGACCTGAGTACAAAGGTAACTTAGCAGTAACTTGTAGACAAATACAACTGTAGTCATTATCATGGCAATTTATTTTGGAGAAAAAATGTTTATGGAATTTTTGAAAATATGGTGGAAAGGGAACCAAAACTGAAGAGGCTGACTCCAATATACTTTAAGCAACCTGTAAAAACAGAAATGCATCCAATATTTAAGGAGTAAGCAGTGCTTAACAATGATGTGCTGACTGCATGTTTCCATACATTCCACACATTCTTCATGTATGCCAAGGTCAAAGACTTCTGAGAGGACAAGGCATGGTGCATTCTGTAATGTAATATAAACTAAAGAATGCCAGATAAATTCTGAGAAAGCAGCAAGAAGATAGTAATACTAAAGAATTCCTATTTTGTCCTTGCACATATGGTAGGTACTGCTAATACCTTCCTGGCATTTGTACCCTCCTTACATTTATTAACAGAACCTGACTTTTATTCATGTAATTTGTTTCAGGAGCTCCTCCCCAGGTACAAAAAAAAATCATTATTTATAAAGTAGGGTACAGAACAAGAAGGGAACAGATCGAGTTTATGCATGCTATGACATCAATTCTGAGACCATTTACCTTCTATATTTATACTCTTGGATATCAATGCTTGCTCTACAGCATTGCCCTCTGTTTCTTATCCTATGTCAAGTCCTGACATGAAAGTGACTAATGCCATACATAAGAAGAAAAAAAATAAGACCCATGAGTGTATCTGAATTTTAAATATTTTTCTTTATACCATCCATCTTCACCCTGTACAAGAATAAATGAGAATTTATAATACACTTACCATTATGTAACAAGTTTAAAATATGTCAATTTAAGTATAGATTTTTTAAACCATATTATAAGCATGTTAAATATTAAATATGTGGGTTCAAATAGTGGCAAAATAAATTGTAAAATTAGTCAGCATTGGTAAATTTATAATATTCTTATTTATTTTATCAATTAATATACAGCTGCATATGATACAGATTTATTTTGGTCTTTAATTATGAATATATATACACACATATTTATGATTACATGATTGAATAAAATATATATTTAATAGTATTCTTTGGAAAGATTGACAATAGATTATTAATTTTTTTTTCTGTAATATATTTCCCAGTCTTTCTGAAGTAATATCACACAGGATTTTTTTAAAAAGGAAAAGCTAACCATTTTTTAAAAAACAGATAAAATGTATACTTGTATATTGAAAATTTTACCTAGTGCTAATGTTGAAATTTTCAGAAACATTAGGAGGCATTCTTAAAGAATAACTTCCTATAATTTTTTCAGAAAATAGTGCCTTAAATCATTTTCAATATTACAGAAAACACAAAGATAAGTTTATGGGTGTAATTATATTGCCACACACTTTATAATTACATATCTCTAATTGATGCTTTTAACCACCTACTGTGTTGTGCTACACCTGTGAAAAGGTTACACTCCAACATTAACTGGAAGCTATTTCGATTTGCAGAACTGAGTGTTGCATTGATAGAATAGGTAGAAATTTTATGAAAATCATCTTAAAGTTTTAGAGCTACAACTGAAAGTATGTTTGCAATACAATCCCCATAATCCCTAAGCCCAGCAAATGAAAGAGGGGATGATTTAGAACTTTTTAAAAGACTGTATACACATCATCTAATTGATCAAATATTTTACTTGTTCTAACAATACAACTAGCTTTCTCTTTTAAATATTTCTTTAAGAGAATGTAATCAGAATGCCTGCTGGGTTACTTTATTTGACTCCTTAAATAACGATTGCTTAAAAGTGATGTTATTATTGTAGTTTTAATGTCACTAATACATACTCCAAATTGGTGCTAGTAAAAAACTTTCTTTTTTTATTATTATTATACTTTAAGTTTTAGGGTACATGTGCACAATGTGCAGGTTTGTTACATATGTATACATGTGCCATGTTGGTGTGCTGCACCCATTGACTCTTCATTTAGCATTAGGTATATCTCCTAATGCTATCCCTCCCCCCTACCCCCACCCCACAACAGTCCCAGGTGTGTGATGTTCCCCTTCCTGTGTCCATGTGTTCTCATTTTTCAATTCCCACATATGAGTGAGAACATGTGGTGTTTGTTTTTTTGTCCTTGCGATAGTTTGCTGAGAATGATGGTTTCCAGCTCCATCCATGTCCCTACAAAGGACATGAACTCATCATTTTTTATGGCTGCATAGTATTCCACGGTGTATATGTGCCACATTTTCTTAATCCAGTCTATCATTGTTGGACATTTGGGTTGGTTCCAAGTCTTTGCTATTGTGAATAGTGCCACAATAAACATATGTGTGCATGTGTCTTTAGAGCAGCATGATTTATAATCCTTTGGGTATATACCCAGTAATGGGATTGCTGGGTCAAATGGTATTTCTAGTTCTAGATCCCTGAGGAATCGCCACACCGACTTCCACAATGGTTGAACTAGTTTACAGTCCCACCAACAGTGTAAAAGTGTTCCTATTTCTCCACATCCTCTCCAGCACCTGTTGTTTCCTGACTTTTTAAGGATCGCCATTCTAACTGGTGTGATATGGTATCTCATTGTGGTTTTGATTGGCCACAATGGCCAGTGATGATGAGCATTTTTTCATGTGTTTTTTGGCTGCATAAATGTTTTCTTTTGAGAAGTGTCCATTCATATCCTTTGCCCACTTGTTGATGGGGTTGTTTTTTTCTTGTAAATTTGTTTGAGTTCATTGTAGATTCTGGATATTAGCCCTTTGTCAGATGAGTAGATTGCAAAAATTTTCTCCCATTCTGTAGGTTGCCTGTTCACTCTGATGGTGGTTTCTTTTGCTGTGCAGAAGCTCTTTAGTTTAATTAGATCCCATTTGTCAATTTTGGCTTTTGTTGCCATTGCTTTTTCTGTTTTAGACATGAAGTCCTTGCCCATGCCTATGTCCTGAATGGTGTTGCTTAGGTTTTCTTCTAGGGTTTTTATGGTTTTAGGTCTAACATGTAAGTCTTTAATCCATCTTGAATTAATTTTTGTATAAGGTGTAAGGAAGGGATCCAGTTTCAGCTTTCTACATATGGCTAGCCAGTTTTCCCAGCACCGTTTATTAAATATGGAATCCTTTCCCCATTGCTTCTTTTTGTCAGGTTTGTCAAAGATCAGATAGTTGTAGATATGTGGCATTATTTCTGAGGGCTCTGTTCTGTTCCATTCATCTCTATCTCTGTTTTGGTACCAGCACCATGTTGTTTTGGTTACTGTAGCCTTGTAGTATAGTTTGAGGTCAGGTAGCGTGATGCCTCCAGCTTTGTTCTTTTAGCTTAGGATTGACTTGGCAATGTGAGCTCTGAGGCCAGCATCATGCTGATACCAATGCCTGGCAGAGACACAACAAAAAAGAGAATTTTAGACCAATATCCTTGATGAACATTGATGCAAAAATCCTCAATAAAATACTGGCAAACCGAATCCAGCAACACATCAAAAAGCTTATCCACCATGATCAAGTGGGCTTCATCCCCGGGATGCAAGGCTGGTTCAACATACAAAAATCAAGAAACGTAATCCAGCATATAAACAGAACCAAAGACAAAAACCACATGATTATCTCAATAGATGCAGAAAATGCCTTTGACAAAATTCAACAACCCTTCATGCTAAAAACTCTCAATAAATTAGGTATTGATGGGACTTATCTCAAAATAATAAGAGCTACCTATGACAAACCCACAGCCAATATCATACTGAATGGACAAAAACTGGAAGCATTCCCTTTGAAAACTGGCACAAGACAGGGAAGCCCTCTCTCACCACTCCTATTCAACATAGTGTTGGAAGTTCTGGCCAGGGCAATCAGGCAGGAGAAGGAAATAAAAGGCATTCAATTAGGAAAAGAGGAAGTCAAATTGTCCCTGTTTGCAGATGACATGATTGTATATCTAGAAAACCCCATCGTCTTAGCCCAAAATCTCCTTAAGGTGATAAGCAACTTCAGCAAAGTCTCAGGATACAAAATCAATGTGCAAAAATCACAAGCATTCTTATACACCAATAACAGACAAACAGAGAGCCAAATCATGAGTGAACTCCCATTCACAACTGCTTCAAAGACAATAAAATACCTAGGAATACAACTTACAAGGGACGTGAAGGACCTCTTCAAGGAGAACTACAAACCACTGCTCAATGAAATAAAAGAGGATACAAACAAATGGAAGAACATTCCATGCTCATGGGTAGCAAGAATCAATACTGTGAAAATGTCCATACTGCCCAAGGTAATTTATAGTTTCAATGCCATCCCCATCCAGCTACCAATGACTTTCTTCACAGAATTGGAAAAAACTACTTTAAAGTTCATATGGTGCTAGTAAAAATCTTTCTAAAACTTTATATGATAATTTTTTTTAATTCTTGGAAATCTTTACATAGTATCAGGAAAATTATCCTTAAATGTACTCATATTATCTGATGTAATAACACTGCAGTATATCTCTAAATATAATTCTCTGATAGTCACTCGAGTCATGTAAGTTCAACATTCTATATTTGCCTCCAAACACTCTCTGAGCCAATATCATGTACCTGGTTGACTATTATTTATTCATTTGTTTTTTCTTCTTTAAGTTCAAGGCTTGCATTCTCTGGAAAAAGTTTTTGGATATCCTCTGTGACTTAGGGTTCTGTGTGTTACCTATATCACCTAGCATACAAGGTATTACACTGTGTTTTAATTTATGACTTAAATAGGTAAGCTCATTGAGGCTGGAGGTAATTTACTACTTTTTTTCTCTTAGGTTTATCTGTGACTACTTATAAAGGCACTTCAGAATCTCCTGGTACACTTGCAAAATTTGTTTAAAATAATTAAACTGTATTATTTGAACACAAATCAAAAGTTCTTTCAGTAGCACTTTCCTCACACTGATTAATATTACACTTTGGCCTAAAAGTATGATTTTTCCAGTAACACTGAGTTTAAAATGAAGGAATATATACATAAATAACCATAATATAAATATATAAAAGATTGTGTATATACATCGTAGGCTGCCTTTGTTACAACAGAGACCTACCTGTTACAATTTTAATGATACACTTTTATTTTAATTTAACATTTGTTTTTAAACCACTTTATTAATTAAGTAAACAGAGCCCTGCATACATTTCAGTTTCAGTATCCCTAATGTATTTATCATTTCATGTGGGGGCATATATGCCCCTTCAAATATTTTAGTGTGTTTTCTACATGGGATTAAACAGTTCAAATAAGGTATTTGTCAGCATTTTATAATTCTGAGGGATTTCTGTTGTTGTCATTTGTTTGTTTGTTTTTGTTTTTGTAGGGTGTCACTCTGTCCCCCTGGGCTGGAGTGCAGTGGCACATGACCTTGGCTCACTAAAATTCAACCTCTTGGGATCAAGCAGTCCTCCCACATCAGCCTCCCAAATAGCTGGGACTACAGGCACATGCCACCATACCCAGATAACTTTTTTATTTTGTGTAGAGGCAGGGTTTCTCTTACCCAGGCTGGTCTCAAACTCCTGGCCCTAAGTGATCCTCCCACCTCGGCCACCCAGAGTTCAGGGATTACAGGTGTGAGCCACTGCATTCCCCCCAAGGATTTTAAAAATAGATATATTTCTCTTTTAATTTTTCTATTGAAATTACCACAGCAGTTATATAGTCACTATCACTATCAATTTCTCCACCTATCTGTCCATAGATGCTATTCTTTAAGTTTTGAGCATTACACGTATTTCCATTTTCTTCATAGAAATTATCTTTTTATTTTACCTTCCTTACAGAATTTTATTTTCGTACTTGAAATACCTTGCATACTTTGAAGTGTTCGATTTATTAATTCTCTTAACAAAATCTCTCTTTCCCTCTCAGTTACTAGACAGATAGACAGACAGAAAGACAAATAGATAGTGTATTCAGTTAGGGTTTTCCCCAGAAACAGAACCGACAGGATGTGTGTGTGTGTGTGTGTGTGTGTGTGTGTGTGTGTGTGTGTGTAAAGACAGAGACTTATTTAAGGAATTGGCTCACTTAATTATGGATGGAGGCCAGAAAGTCCAGAATCTGTAAGTTTCCAGGATAGACCTATAGGCTAGAAACACAGGAATGAGTAAATGCTTCCATTTGAGTCCAAAGACAGATTTGAGGCTGAATTTCTTCTGTAAATCTGTGTCCAAATGTCTTCTTTTCATAGGGAAATGTTTCATAAATGACCTAATTTTAACTTAATTACATCTTTAAAGACCATATCTCCAAACACAGACACATTCTGAGGTACTGGGGATTATGACTTCAATATGAACATTTTGTGGGATAAAGCTCAGATATAACAGATAGATAGACATAGATACATAGTAATATAAAGAGATAAACAGATATAAATTGAAATTTAATTTTATATATCTAATGTTTTGAATATATATAACCAAATACACATTGAGATATATTGAAAATTTAAATGAGATGAAAATAGTTTTTAAAATATTATGTTTCTGTATAGAAATGTTGCTTACTGCATATATTTTAGACAGTAGTTTTAATAGGTCAGATTTAAGATAAGATTAGGATTCAAGAATAATCTATGCTAAAGACTGACTCTAGACTCAAATTAAGAAAGGTGATAGTTTGTGGGGAACCAGATTTCTTGTATCATATAGAGTTTTAAAATCTCTATAATATCTTGCTTTTCACGAAAATGTTAAGACAAATATTTTTCCGAGAGAAAAATGCTGTGGTGACCCACCCAATTTGTTATCAGCCAGTAATAGTTCCTCTATCACAACAAAATTTATATTGTTGTTCTTACTCTCTTCTTGCATTCAAAGTCCAATAAACTGTTCTGGGAATGGTTATATCAAATTATGTCATTAAGAGAGAAAGATAGACTGTTTAATGGAAGAAAAACACGAGCAACAGCAAATGCATGTTCTTACTATCTGGGAGCTATCAGTAAAACCACAAACTCCAAGTTTAAAATTATTTAGCTCAATCTTAATATATGTACTATTTAATTATGTTAGCATTTTAATCATAATTTCATTACATATTTAGCAAGCATCTATAAATTATATAATTCTCAGCTAACAAATTCCGGATAAAATAAAAACAAGCCACTCCCCTACTAGTCTTTTCATTTTGGGCACTCTGAAAAATATTATCATCTCTCGGATTTCTCTTTTTTAAGTTTAACTATCCAGCTGTTATCTTAATTAAGTCTGCTACAGGCAAGGATCTGGTTTTCCACACCTGTGGAGAAGACTGTCATGGCATTTTAATGACTTAATAGAGCTTGCAGAAATGGAGGCTAGTGTGAATGTTAGCAATGATTAGTTCAAATTAGTGCCAAAGCTGTCAATTTCCAATTAGGAGATGTGTTTGTTCTTCAACAATGTACTACCACAAATTGGGTGTTTTGACACTGTTAATTCATCTTTTGCCACCTGATAGAAATAACTCAAATGGCTCCCAGTAATCTCTTCTACAACAGAGTTATTAAAGTTAGACCCAGCTGGATATCAAGTTTAAAACCAAAGAAAATACATTATTCTCAGGAATAAAAATATATGGGATAAAAGAATAATTATTTTTGGCAATACTCCCAATTTATGGTTTAACTGCATGTGAAGGATGTTAGAGTACATAGTTGAAAGCACTGAATGCTCTGTTTGATAGGGAATTCTGGTGTGGTTGATGTGATTAGATGAAAAGGAAAAATAGTAAAATTACAGTGCCCAGTGCAACTGAAAAACCAGTAAATACAAAATTTATCTTTCAATAAAGTATCAAACTATTTATTAATTTTTACACAGAAAGTGTGCAGAAAATTGGATGCAAGTTCAGAGAAAATATGAAAAAGAGGGATTGATAATAAAAAGAAAACATTTTAATTTATAATGTCTATCCCTAAAGAAGATTATATCTGCTCTATTTCATAATATTAAGTACTACTTAATACCTTGCTTTATTGGATTTCACTTTATTGTCCTTCAAGGATACTGAGGGTTTTTTGTTTTTTTTTTTTCTGTTTGTTTTTAACAAATTAAACGTTTGTGGCAACTCTGACGGCTCCATTTTTCCAACAGCATGTGCTCAGTTTGCGTCTTTCTGTCACATTTTGATAACTCAAACTATTTTAAACTTTTTCATTATTATTATCTATTATGGTGATTTGTGACAAGTGATCTTTAATGTTACTAAGGTAATTGTTTGGGGCATCACAAACCACACCCATGTAAAACAGGAAATTTAATCTATAAATGTCGTTTGTGTTCCCAGTTTGCCACACACCAGCCTCTCCTCTGTCTCTCTTGCCTCAGGCCTTCCTATTCCCTGACACATGACATTATTGATATCAAGCCATTTAGTGACCCTACAATAGCCTGTAAGTGTTCAAGTGAAAGAAAGAGTCACATATCTCTCACTTTAAATCCAAAGCTTTGTGAAGAATGCCTGTCAAAAGCCAAGATAGAGGCCGGGCACAGTGGCTTACACCTGTAATTCCAGCACTTTGGAAAGCTGAGATGGGCAGATCACTTGAAGCCAGGAGTTTGAGACGAGCCTGGCCAATATAGTGATATCCCCTCTCTACTACAAATATAAAAATTAACTGGGTGTGGTGGCTCACACCTGTAATCCCAGCTACTCGGGAGGCTGAAGCACAAGAATCACTTGAAACTTGGAGGTGGAGATTGCAGTGAGCTGAGGGTGACACTCCAGCCTGGGTGACAGAAAGAGATTCTGTCTCAAGGGAAAAAAAAAAAAAAAAAGCCAAGATAGGCCAAAAACTAGATCTCTGGCAATAAATAGTGAGCCCAGTTGGGAATTTAAGAAAAAGATTTTGAAGGAAATTAAGATAAGCAAAAAAGTCTCATTGCTGATCCTGAGAAATTTTGAATGGGCTGGTTGGAAGATCAAATCCACCACAACATTCCCTTAAGCCAAAACCTAATCCACAGCAAGGTCCTAACTCTCTTCAATTCTATGAAGGCTTAGAGAGATGAGGAAGGTACAGAAGAAAAGTTTGAATTTAGCAAGATCGGTTCATGAAGTACATGGAAAGAAGCAGTCTCCATAAGACAAAAGTCTTAGATGAAGTAGCAAGTGCTGATGTAGAAGCTGCAGGAAGTTATCCAGAAGACTTAGATATTTGATGAAGGTAGCTATACTAAACAAAAGATTTTCAATCTAGATTATACAGCCTTCTAATGGAAGGAGATGACCATCTTCTCAGAGCCAGCAAGGAGAAGTCAATGCCTGCCTTCAAAGCTTCAAAGAACAAGCTGACTATCTTGCTAGAAGCTAATGCAGCTAGTGACTTGAAGCAGAAGCCACTGCTCATTTACCTGTCAGGAAATCCTAGGGCTTTAAGAATTATGCTAAACCTATTCTGCCTGTACTCTGTAAATGGAAGAATAAGGCCTGGATCACAGCACATCTGTTTACAACATGGTTTACCGAAAATTTTAAGCCCACTATAAAGATCTACTGCTCAGGAAAAAAAAAAAAAGCCCTTTTTAAAATATTACTGTTTGCTGACAATGCACTTGACACCCAATCACTCCAATATCCAAGGATATTAACATTGTTTACAAGCCTGCTAACACAACATTCATTCCTAATGGATCAAAGAGTAATTCTGAATTTCAAGTCTTATTATTTAACAAATACATTTTATAAGGCTATAGCTGCCACACATAGGGATTCCTCTAACAGATCTGGGCAAAGTACATTGAGCATCTTCTGGAAAGAGATCACCATTCTAGATCCATTAAGAACATTTGTGATAAGGGAGGAGGTCAAAATATCAACATTAATGGTAGTTTGAAATAAGTTGATCCCAACTATCATGGATAAGTTTGAGGGGTTTAAGACTTCAATGGAGGAAGTAACTGCATATGTGGTGGAAATAGCAACATAATTTGAATTAGAAGTGAAGCCTGAAGATGGGACAGAATTGCTGCATTCTCATAATAAAACTTGAATGGATGAGGAGTTGCTTCTTTTGGATGAGCAAAGAAAGTATCTTCCTGAGATGGAATCTAGTCTTGCTGAAGATGTGGTGAACATTATTGAAATGACAACAGAAGACATAGTTGGGGAAGCAGCAGCAGGGTTTGAAAGGATTGATTCCAATTTTGAAAGAAGTTCCACTGTGAGTAAAATGCTATCAAACAGGGCATGCTGTAGAGAAATAGTTCATGAAAGAGTCAATTGCTGTGGCAAACCCTACTGTTGTCTTATTTTAAGAAATTATCACAGCCAATCCCAAACTTCAGTAACCGCCACCCTCATCAGTCAACGGCCATCAACACTGAGGCAAGAACCTGTACCAGCCAAAAGATTATGAACTCACTGAAGGCTAAGATAAATATTAGCAATTTTTAGTAATAAAGTATTTTTAATCAAATTATGTATATTGTTTTTAGACACAATAATATTACACACTTAGTTGTTTTAGACACAATGCTACCGTATATTTAATAAGCTAATAAGCTACAGTTTAGTGTTAATATAACTAGTATATTCACTGGGAAACAAAAAGGTTTGTGTGACTTTTTGAATGGCAGAAGGGATCGGAGTTACTGGTGGTGAATCTGTATGGATCTGCAGCGACCTCAGTTCTTGCCTCCTCAGAAGAGTTTGACTGAAGGATGTAAGGCAGAAAAAAGAGACCGAGGCAAGTTTCAGAGCAGGAGTGGAAGTATATTAAAAAGCTTTAGAGCAGTAAAGAAAGGAAAGTACACTTGGAGGAGACCCAAGTGGGCACTGAGAAGGTCAAATGCAGCATTTTACCTTGATCCTAGGACTTTATAGAGCAGCCCACCTCTGGCGTCTTGTGCCCCTTTCCCATGAATCTTCCCTTAAGTTGGGCTGCCCACAAATGCAGTGCCCTCCTTACATTTGGGAAGTGAGCATGCGCAGTGTGCTTAGGAAGTTCTACGCGTGTCCATCTGAGGCTTTCTTCCCTTTTTTTTCCAGTGGAGTGCCCCTGAAAGGTCATACTCCTCCATTTTGTCTTTTAATGTTCATGCCCCGGGAGTTACTTCTTCCTGGTATCTTCCTTCAATTAACACTTTAACGTGACAGCTGTGGACCATCAGGAGATTGTCGCTCCCTGGCAGTGACAGCCAAATTATCATTTTTAGAGAGGCAACGCGATAACTGTCAAACCATCCTCCAATAATCACCTTAGGGTCCTGGTGGGTTGGGGAGAGAGCCCTCTCCTCCCCTACTCATGGCCTGTCTAACTCTCTGCAACAAGTTGCTTTATTGCAATATTTGTTTTATTGTGTTGGTCTGGAACTGAACCTGCAGTATCTTTGAGGGTTGCCTGCATTAAAGAATTTCTATGGTATGGAACTGAGAAAACCTATAAAGAGAAGGGAATATATTTAACACTCAAAAGTTACATTTTCTGGAGGTAATAACAGACCAGTAATACTAATAGCAATTATTTATGAACTTTTATCTATCTAAGATTGACATTGGTTTATTTTCACATATATTGTTCCACTTAATAGCTACAATTTCCATGCAAGTTAATTTTTAGTAGTATTATTTTTCATTTTACAGATGAAGGAAATCAAAAAGTTACGTGAATGGTTTAAGAAAGCAAACTTCAGAAGAGCCCATGACCTTTAATAGAAATATCTATGTTCGTTTATTTAAAAACTATTCATAGTTGCTTAAGGTATTTTTTATCTTTAATAATACACATCAATTCATTTTCACAGGCTATATTCTACATTTAACAATAACATTATTAGTTATTTATTGCAATATAACAAACTCATCCTAAAACTTAATGGCTTAGGGTTTTATGGGTTGGACTGAACTTAGCAAGACTAGTTCATTTGTGCTACTTAGCCTCACCTAGCATAGCTTGATTTGGGCTGGAAATTATACTTTCATAAAGGTTCACTCACTTAAATGGCAAGTGATGATAATTGTTAGTTGGGAGCTCAGCTGTGGCAACTGACCACAAGTCTCTGTTTTCTGCAGGTGATATCTCTTGATGTGATAGCTCTATTTTTCTTATAATATGGCAGTTGAATCCCAAAGAAAAAACAGTTTCACAGGACAATACCTCAAGTAAGATCTCTTAT
Source organism: Homo sapiens (assembly GCF_000001405.40). Classification (NCBI taxonomy): domain Eukaryota; kingdom Metazoa; phylum Chordata; class Mammalia; order Primates; family Hominidae; genus Homo; species Homo sapiens. The sequence goes on from NW_003571036.1 coordinate 29,860, forward strand.
TTTCTCCTGTGACGCTCTCTAATGTCCCATTGACCAAAGCCAGTCATATGAACAAGCTCACTGTGAAAGTGTGACAGGACTGCCCCAAGCATGAAATCTGGGAGACATGGATCATGGTGAGCATCGAAATAACATCAATATGAAAATATTTCTACAATTTTGGTGAGAAAGTGTAAGAAAAAGATATTTATTATTTATTCGTGGATGAACATTCAAGAGTAGTAAGAAACAAAGTGCTTCCTTTCATTATAACGCAAAATAAGCATTTAATAAGTACATTTAAAATGTTACTAATATGGAATAAAGATTATGCTAGAGCCGTATGTCTAAAAATAATATTTTTAAAATGTGTAAGTGTAGTTTTTAAACATATGAGGTTTCTTCTCAGCAAGCAGACTAAGTAGCTTTATTGAGGATCTTACTGGGAAAACAAGAGAAAAATATCAAAAATGTACAATTAAACATTTTGAAAAAAATGTTCTTAATGGAATTAATTAAATACTGATATAGTTAGAAATATTTAAATACCAAAACTAAGTGAAAATAAAAATTCTATATCTGGCTTTTTCGTTAAGAATATTTGCAAATAGGGTAAATTTGAGTTTCAATTACCTTGACCTTGAGGCACACAGGGGCAGTTGGTAAAAGCCCGTGTCAGCCAATTTGAGGCAAACTACAAAGGTAGAAGCCAAAATTTCTTCCCCTTGAGTTATTAAATCCAAACTCAAAAAATCACATACACACACACACACACACACACATACACACACACAAACGCAACAAAACCTCTGGACTGTGAGAAATGTATTTCTGCTCATTATAAATTACTCAGTCTCAGGTTTTCTGTTATAGCAGCATTTTGGTAATAACTAATAATAAAACAATACACTCTTGAGAATTCATAGCTATGTGATATAAGTATTATTTATAAGAACTAGTTTACATCTAAGATGTAATTCACTCTGTGAAATCAGAAAAAAGTATTAATGCCTAATTATTGGGAGTTATGACTGCATATTGTAACAATTTTGAACTGCTTGAGTTCAGTAAAAGAAGTCTTCATGGAAGTAAAGTAACTAACATCAAATTAGAGAAAATAATTCAGAAGCAAAACAATAACAAGTAACAGTGAACCTTCAGTACACTTCTCTGCATTAAAAATTATTTGTATATTTTAAAGACATAATTTAGAACTTCCTGACACTGCTGTAAAACATAGTCTACTGATCAGAAATATAAGTTTTCCACACATAATGCTCATCTTACTTGAAGAAAAATGTTTCAAGCAAAGATGTCTTTTATAACAAAGACAGCCACCTAAGAAAAAGTAGAACACTTCTGTGGTTTGAATATGATCTTCAAAAAGCATGTGCTGGAGACTTAATTCCTAATACAGCAGTGTTGGGAGGTAGATCCTAATGAAGGGTGATTAGACTGTGAGGGCAGAGTGAATGAATCAATGTCATTATTGCAGGGGTAGGTTAGTTATAAGACGGGAAGTTCTGCAATCTCTCTCTCTCTCTCTCTCTCTCCTCTTCCCCTCTCTTTGCCCTTTCATGATCTGATACCTCCAATGTGTTATGAGGCAGCAATAAATTATTCACCAGATGCCAGCCCCTCAATTCTGGAATTCCCAGTCTCCAGGACTGTGAGAAATGGATTTCTGCTCATTATAAATTGCTCAGTCTCAGGTTTTCTGTTATAGCAGCATAAAATGGACTAAAACAGACACTATCTTGATTTATAGCTCTTTGCAATTATGTTTAATTATTTTGGAAATTTTGTTGCATTCACTGGTTTACCCTAGTGTATTAGTCCATTCTCACAATGCTATGAAACATTGAACTGCCTGTGACTCTGTAATTTATAAAGAAAAGAGGTTAAATTGAATCACAGTTCTGTAGGGCTGGGGAGGCCTCAGGAAACTTACAATCGTGGCAGAAGGGGAAGCAAACATGTTATTTTTCACATGGCAGCAGGAAGGAGAAATGCCAAACAAAGAGGGAAAAGTCCCTTATAAAACCATCAGATCTCCTGAGAACTCACTCACTATCATAATAACAGCAGCATGGGAGTAACTGCCCCAGTGATTCAATTATCTTCCACTGAGTCCCTCCCAGGACACGTGGGAATTACGGGAACCTCAGTTCAAGATGAGATTTCAGTTAGGACACAGTGAAACCATACCATTCTGCCCCTGGCCCTTCCTAAATCTCATGTCCTCACATTTCAAAACACAATCATGCCTTCCCAAGAGTCTCCCAAAGTCTTAATTCATTTCAGCATTAACTAAAAAGTTCATAGTCCAAAGTCCATTCTGAGACAAGGCAAGTCCCTTCTGCCAATGAGCCTGTAAAATTGAAAGCAAGTTAATTATTTCCTAGATACAATAGGGGTACAGGCATTGGGTAAATACAGCCATTTCAAATGGGAGTGATTGGTCAAAACAAAGGGGCTACAAGCCCCATGCAAATCTGACATCCAGCAGGCATTCAAATCTTAAAGCTCCAAAATGACCTCCTTTGACTCTATGTCTCATATCCTGCTCACATTGATGCAAGAGGTGGGCTCCCATGGCCTTGGACAGCTCCACCTCTGTGGCTTTGCAGGGTACAACCCCCTTCCTGGCCGCTTTCACAGACTGGCATTGAGTGTGTGCTGATTTTCCAGGTGTAGAGTGCAAGCCATCGGTGGATCTCCCATGCTGGGGTCTGAAGGATGGTGACCCTCTTATCACAGCTCCGCTAGGCAGTGCCCCAGTGAGGACTCTGTGTGGGGACTCTGACCCTACATTTTCCTTCTGCACTGCCCTAGCAGAGATTCTTCATGAGGTTTCTGCCCCTGCAGCTAATTTCTGGCTTGATATCCAGGAATTTCCATAGATCCTCTGAAATCTAGGTGGAGGTTCCCAAACCTCAATTCTTGTCTTCTGTGCACCCACAGGTCTAACCCCACATGTAAGCCACCAAGGCTTGAGGCTTGCATCCTTTGAAGCAACGGCCTGAGCTGTACATTGGCCCCTTTTAGCCATGGCTGGAGCTGAAGCAGCTGGGATGCAGGGCACAATATCTCTAAGCTGCATAGAGCAGGGAGCCCTGGGCCTGGCCCACACAACAATTTTTTTCTTCTAGGCCTCTGGGCCTGTGATGGTAGGGGCTGCCATGAAGGTCTCTGACATGCCCTGGAGTTGATTAACTGGTGATTAACATTCAGTTCCTCATTACGCTGCCAATTTCTGCAGAGGGCCTGAATTTCTCCCTAGAAAAATGGGTTTTTCTTTTCTATCACATTATGAGCCTGCAAATTTTCTAAACTTTTATGCTCTAATTCCTCTTGAACACTTTGCTGCTTAGAAATTTCTTCCACCAGATACCTTAAATCATCTCTTTTTAGTTCTAAGTTCCACAGATCTCTAGGGCAGGGACAAAATGCCACCAGTCTCTTTGCATAGCAAGAGTGATCTTTACTCCGGTTTCAAACATGTTCCTCTTCTCCATCAGAGACCACCTCAAGCCTGGAATTCTTTGTCCTTATCACTATCAGCATTTTGGTCCAAGTCATTCAACAAATCTCTAGGCAGTTTCAAAGTTTCAAACATCTTCCAGTCTTTTGAGTCCTCCAAATTGCTAGGAAGTTCCAAACTTTTTGACATTTTTCCATCTTCTTGTGAGCCCTCCAAACTGACCTCCGCCTGTTACCCACTCCAAAAGTCACTTCCACATTTTTGGGTATCTTTACAGCAGTGCTCCACTGCCTCAGTACCAATTTACTGTATTAGTCTGTTCTCACACTGATATAAAGCACTGCCTGAGACTGGGTAATTTATAAAGGAAAGAGGTTTAATTGACTCACAGTTCTTCAGAGCTGGGAAAGCCTCAGGAAACTTACAATCAAGGCAAATGGGGAAGCAAACATGTCCTTCTTCACATGGTGGCTGGAAGAGGTGCCAAACAAAGAGGAAAAAGCCCGTTATAAAACCATCAGATCTAGTGAGAACTCACTAGCACAAGTACTACAGCATGGGAATAACAGCTTCATGACTCAGTTACCTCTCACTGGGTCCCTCCCATGACATGTGGGGATTATGGGAACTACAATTCAAGATGAGATTTTGGTGGGGTCACAGCCAAACCATGTCACCTAGATTACCTCTTAGCTAACCCTTGGCTTTGCCCACACCTCTCACCAGAAGCTTTTTAAATCCAAGTCTTGGTTATAAATGTTTCATGCAATTAATGATGCTTATAATTATATAATAATCTAAGTAAATAAATATTTAGTGTGTTCAGGGGAAATGCACTTTCCCAGCTTTTAATTTCCATGAAATATTTCCTGAGTCTTAGATGAGCTTCACATTCTCTTGGGAATATGTACACATGACTTATTCATACATTTGGAAATGTAGAAATTGGCTTACCTGCAATCAGCATGAGTTCTGTCTCACCCTTCCATTCTTCAAGACTGTCTACATGAGGAGGTTGTCTAAATAAGGTTTTATCTAGGAATAGTACACATCTGACAATTCTGTAGTCCACTTAGCAAACGCTTTTGGTTTCCACACTAAACTATGATCTCCAAAATTGATATGTGGGCTTCCATGTACTATGTACAGTATTAGCTTTCTCAATTACCTAAAACATAGGTGCAGAAGAGGGATTCTATTAATTGGAGGACACCTCAAAATCTCCAATAACATTGTAAATAGCATTAAAATAAAATTAAAGAGGTGGTAAAATAAATTTATTATGCCAGTGTTTTATAGCATAAGACAGATTATTCATCACATTGTCAATATGCATACTGCAAATTGTTTAATAAACAGTTTCTAAACTTGTGCTATTCATTTAGTAGGCATATTGAGATTATCATTTAAGTGACTCATACCAATACTTTTTATTACCAGCTAAAGAAACTTTCAGTTTAAATAGTTCATATAATAACTTCATGTAATAAAACTCAGTGTGTTGACCTTTTTAACTTAACTCTTCTACCAACAACAGCAAAATGTTGGGGTGAGGAAAAAACTTCCCCTTTGGCCTCTGAAGGCTCACTGAAAAATCAGTGGGTGAGAAGCATACAAGCAAAGGCATATACATATATGATTGTACACAACCAGAATCATGGTTAATTACCCCCAACCTCAATGGGGTGCAGAAACTTATATACATTTTCCCATAGGGGAGGGAGGAGATGGAAAATGTAGAGGATTCTGTTGAGGTGCAGGAAATAATTATTAGGAAGAATGAATAGACGAGAGAGATAGAAACTAACTTGTAAATAATTGGAATGACCCCAAGAGGCAGATATTATCTTGTGAAAATAAGTTCCATCCAGGTGTGGTTGCATTCTTTACTCTTCTTTAGTGAAATAATGAGATTTCAAGGAGGGGATAGAAGAAAATTGTGTTTCTCTTGGTAAAAGATTTCTTGGTCAAATAAAGACATTCCAGAAAAAGTGTCCCTCCTTGAGCTTGTGGGGGAAGAGAGGGAAAAAAGTCAAAGTTAGAGGGATCCTGAGATTTATTTCTGAGGCCTTTTGATGTTCAAAAGCGCTCAACATGCCCAAGTGCCATATTCTGAGTAATCATTTTATGGACTCCAACAGAAGCTATTTAGTGGATATCTGATTACTCAATATCGTATTGGAAGATAACCTCTCAGAGATAAGTGATAGTAGCTATAACATTTCCTACTGTCTGTGGAGTTTTGATTTTTTGTTGTTGTTGCTTCTGTTGATTTAGTTCTTCATAAAGCATATATTACTACTAGGTCAGAAAGCACTGATCAGAAAAAATAAAAGAAGATAAGAAACTTATTCTGTCAGCTACACACCACATAGAAAACCTCAATCAACAGGTCTTTTGAAAATAAGCATAGCCTATTGGAAGCAGGGGCTTTGCTGTTAGAATCTTTTTGAAGGAGATGAGGCACAAGATATAACTGTAAAGAGCTTACTTGAGCCAAAGTAAGGACAGCTGCCTGGGAAACACTTGTATGTTGACTTGGAAAGTGTTTTGTTAATCCTTCGTTAAAGCACGTTTTTAAAGGTAAAAGAGAATAAGGAGTGAGTTGATACAAAGTTGTTTGATAAGAATTTTTATTAATTTACAGAAATAACATTGACTAGTGATTGGCTATACATTGTTGAACTATAATGTTATTTATGTATTTTTATGAAATAACATTGATTAGTGATTGGACATACGTTGTTGAATCTCAAGGTTATGAGTTCTGGTGTCCAGCATATGGCATTTTATGGCTACTTAGTGTTCGTTAATCTAGTGCCCACATAGTGAGTGGTTTCAAAAGGTTCTAGCTCAAGGGAGGAAGTGAGGTATGACTGCTGTCACATGCTATCACATTTTAATGCCTCTCTGTGCCTGATAATTAAAGAATGCTTGCATTACTCAGATAAAAATTCTTTTCTTTCTCAATTTCAATTTCATCTTATTCTGTTTCCTTATCTGTGAAATGAGTAATAATTCTTAACTAATAGGAATGACAATGACTAAAGGTGCAGGACTAAAACTGTTAGGGAATTTCATATTTAAATATAATAGGCTGGGCACAGTGGCTTATGTCTATAATCCCAGCACTTTGGGAGGCTGAGGCAGGTGGATCACTTGAAGCCAGTAGTTGAAGTTCAGCCTGGCCTACAAGGCAAAACCCCATCTCTACTAGAGATAAAAAAAAAAAAATTAGCCAGAAATGGGATACCTATAATCCCTGCTACCCAGGCATGATAGGTGAGGCATCTGAGGTCTCACTGTTCAGATGTGATGATCTGGTAAGTTTCAGTTCCTTGATACTACATGGGAGGTATGATGGTTGGTTTCTTGAGAAAGGAACTCAGATAAGACAAAAGTAATTTTCTCAACTTTTAAGATTTGGAGGGTCAATTTCTATCTTTGTTCAAAAGATACCATAAACATCGGTTCTATGAAACAATTTGGCTAGTTTCAAAATACAAAAGTTAAAAAAATGGAAAAAAATGAGATTTATTGAGTCGACATATTCTGAAAAATAACGCATTTTTAATCTGCAAAGTATTTTTCTAAATTTTTTACTATAGAATATAGATAACTCAAAATACAGCATACAAGAAATGCTCTCATTCTAACTTGGATGTGAAGAAACTTTCTAACGGGAAGTAGAAATTTACATAAATATTAATAGAAGAACAGTTAAGGTATCAGATATCTAAACTCTCTTTTTGTTAATGGTTTAAAAGATTCCGTGATGGTCAGAAAATTAATTAAACAACTCCAACACAGGGAAATTTCATGTTTGTTTGTATATTTTGTTTTGGTATAGATACAAGTGATTGTTTTCTGGTGAAAATGATAAGCCCCCCAAATTTATCACCCTCAGGTATATTAATCACTTTTCCACTAAGCAAGCAATCTTACCTTTTTAAATTAAATTGCTGATTAACATGTAACTCCACAAATGCTATAGAACACGTATTTTGATGTTAGAAATAGAGGGTAAAAAGAAACTTCAATCTATTGCATTCAAAAAGCCAAAAGACAGAGTAGGATAAACAGAAATTCCAAAAACAAACCTTCACTGTATAAAAATATATTAAGCTTTATTTGAAACAAATTGATTTATTTTGTGAAAAGAACAAAGGAGAGAATTGACTAAATCAAAAAGATTAAATGTTAATTCCCTTGGTACTTAAAAGGGAATTCTACACACCACATTTCTCTTGTGGTCTTATTAACACTACTGCAGGCCAAATACAATATCCATGTATCATCAAAGAATTTACAAGCATATTCAGTTCTCTCTATTTATCAACCACATTTCTCATTGAATAATCATTTTTTCATTACACATATGAATTAGTTGCAAGTTAAAGTTGATTTTGTTAGTCTTTTATTCCATCTAGTTTCTTGATAATTGTTACTTTGACTGCACTTGGCACATCTTCTCTGAAAAATTATGTACAACTCACGATTTTTATATAGCTATGCTGATGTTATTCTCTGTACTTTCTGATTACAATTATTATAATAATTCAATTTATCAAAGTTATGCTTCCATGTAATTTAAAGAGACAAATATTTTATAAGGCTTATCAAAAAAATTAAGCAGGCTATAGGCATCTTCAGTTTTTCATTTCTTATTTTCTCTTCCTCAGTTAACTGTTTTCAAATCTACTAGCTTAGTTCTTGTGATTTACTTCCATGTCTCCAGAGGACATGCATATTGGTCCTTCAGGCATTATCTATTGACTTTTCACCATAGAAGTTGAAGATTTAACTTTCTTTCTTTCCCACAGCCCCAGTACACAGACATAAATTGTCCACCTATGATCCTCCATAAGTGAACATATAATTATATTGGTGAGGCTAATATTGACTATCGAGATTAAAAGGTAGTAACTTCTATTCACAAAACAGCCACACAGTAGATAGGTTTACTTGGTCATATCTGCATATGTTTAATTTCCCTTGCATTTAATACATGTTTTATAGCTTCTTTTGCTTAACTTTCTGTGTATCAATACTCCTGTCACAAATTATTTACTATTTGCTAAATCTTATATTTATGTGTTCATTTACATCAGCTAATTAACAACTTTCTTCTTAAAGAAGTCTTTCCTAAAGTCTTTTGATCTGCTGCAATGCCCTCTACACTTGTTATCCATGTGCATATCTGGACATTATCGCCTTTCTCTCTTCCTGGGGTGTTGGTCTACCTCACTTCTCTGCTAGATTTTTCATTTTCTGTAGCCTGCATCATATCAGCCAGATTTCTCAAGAGAAATAGAAACAGTAGGGTGTGTTTGTGGTGTGTGTGTGGGGGAGTTCAGTCAGGCTGGTGGGAAAAATTTTAAGATGAAGTTATAGGATATAGAGACAAATCGTCTTGGAAGGCTGGAAGGTTTTGTAAAAATGTGAAGATAGGGTTATGGCTGAAAGCAGCCTAATCCTACCTTGAGTAAACAGCTTAAAGTAGGTACAAAGGAATGTAGAGTAGTTTATCTAAATAGCTCATTTACTCATGTGGTCCTAAGACCAACATTTGATAAACTGCAGGTGCATAATTGCTCTCTACTTGGGGGATGGGCAACCAGGTCAATTACCTTCTAGTGGTGTTTACTCAAGACCTTTGTCATTTAATATATACTGAATAAATAAGAGCTTCACTGGCTGAACATGGTGGTGGCTGCTACTCTTTACAGCACCTTCCTTGATGTCTGTGAGGGGCCCGGACCCTAAGCTGAACTGACAGGAGGAATATCTGTGTCAGTGTACATCATTCATTCATTGTGGGGTCAGGGTCTGCAGAACGAACTCCACAGCTGTAATGTGTGTGTGTGTGTATGCGTATGTGTGTGTGTGTGTGTGTGTATGTGTGTGTTTAGACAGAATGAGATCCATCTATCTTCTGTCATGATTTATTTTAAGGAATTGGTTCATGCAGTTATAAAGGCTGAAAAGTCCCAGAATCTGCCATCTGCAAGCTAGAAACTCATGAAAGCCAGTGGTTTAATTTAGTCCCCATCTAAGCACTGAGAACTAGTGTCACAGGATCATTAAGGCATCTTTTCACCAGCTAGAAACCTCTGTGGCCTGTGGCACCTCTGCTTGGATTTCGCCTGTGTCCACTGGGCTAGTTCTGCCCACCTGGCCTTGCAGGCTACTGTCAGCTCACACTATCAACTTAGATCCCGTGTCTGCCAAGGGTGAGCCAGGCACAGAGTGATGAGGGGTGTGTGAGCAAGCGAGCATGGGGTCCAGCCACTGTGCACAGCCAAGTGTACCGGCTGTGGTGGGGTTGGCAGCTCCAGGCCCCAGCACAGGCACTGGCTCCAATGTGAGGTTGTGGCTGGACCAGACGTATTGCAAGTGGCTTCTGCTGCCGGCACAAGCATCTGGACAAGGGGAATGTGATGGCACCCAAAAGCTCAGAGATGCCAGGATCTGCAGAGTTCCAAAGAGGGTGTTACAGTGTGTCACAGCCTTGGCTTAGGAAGCCCTGAGGTCTGGGCTCCCAGAAGGGCCACAACTCTTCTCTCCTTCTTGTTGCCCACAACATGGAAAGTGGTGGTGGTGGGGTGGTGTTTTAGCTCTGTTTGTGTTACAGCTCTTTTAGTACCACCATTTGGTGGGTCCCAAGTTTTTATCCTGTGACCAGGAAGAATGCAGTAAGCAGAAAACTGGAGGGTGAGCAAGATGAAGAGAAGCTTCACCAAGCAACAGACAGCTCTCAAAGAGGGCAGCTCCATTCTGTGGGCAGGTGATCCTAGCAAGAGTATAAGTGTGGCTGAGTCTGGGGTTTTTATGTTTCCAAAATGGAGGAAGCGTGTGGTGATGCATACATGGGCAGCCACCAGTGGATCTGATTGGCTGATTGGTCATCAATGAAGTTCTCATTCTGAGCCATGGACTTCACCCAGGACTGGAAACCTGGCCCCTAGGCTTCAGGCCCTCATTGGCCTGAAGTTGAGGTTTCACCAGGGACCCACTCCTTCCCACCTAGGAACCTGTCTGCTTTAACATGCCATCCATGGTGTCCAGGCTGTCCACACAGAGAGGAGACTACAGGCCTGTTGCTGAGCCACTCTCAGCCCCTTTGGCCCCACTCCTGTGCTTTTCAGTGCTCAAAGTCCAGAGGGAGTTAAGATGACAGGGCCTGGTATGTCAGCACTGCCCTAAGCTCATGCACACCTGGCCAGGTTTTGACAGCACTCTGACTTGGCCACAACTTTGCTCTGCCCCAGAGCAGGCACTGGGAGTGGGGAGAGGCCAGGGAGAGGGAGCAGGCACTTTCAAGCCTGCAGAGGCAGGGGACTTCCTGGGCCTCTGAGAGGACAGGGATAGCTGGGTCTGGAACTGCAGCTGGGTGGCTGTAGCTGCACCCAGGAGCATGGGGCCCCACCCCGCCAACTCAGTAGTTGAGGGGGTTCCCACCTAGTCCTAGACCTGATTGCACCTCCCCTCCTGCAGCTGGTGTCCACACAGCAGCTGCTCCAGACGGGCTGCTGCTGCCATCACTAGGAGAACTGATTATATAAATTTCAGTCAAAGGTTTGGAAAATATGAGATGAGATATCCCAGCTCAGTCAGGAAGCAGGGGGAAAAGGGGTGAATTCCTCCTTCCTTCACATTTTGTGAAAGTGGTTGATGCCCAACCACTTTGGGGAGGGCACTCTATTTTACTAAGGCCACCAACTCAAATGCTAATATCATCCAGAACCTACTGTCACAGACATACCCAGAAACAGTACATAATCTGGGTACTCTCTGGCTTACTTAACACACAAAGTTTATTGCAGCACTATTCACAATAGCCAAGATATGAAACCAATCTAAGTACTCATCAATGGAAGAATGGATAAAGAAAATGTGGTGTATATATACACAATAGAATACTATTCAGCCATAAAAACAACCAAGTCCTGTTATGTTCAACAACATGAATGGAACTAGAGGTAACTGTATTAAGTAGAATAAATGAGGTGGAGAAAGACAAATGTTACATGTTATCACTTCATATGTGAGAGATATAAAAGTTGATATCATTCAGGTAGAGAGTAGAATTATGGTTACCAGAGGCTGAGAGGGGTGGGGTGAAGAGTGGCTGGTTAATGGGTATAAACATACAGTCACATAGAAGAAGTAAGTCCTGGTATTTGATAGCACAGTAGATTGAATATAGTTAATAATAATTTATTGTACATGTCAAAGTAGGTTGAAGAGATTTGAAATGTTCACAACACAAATGAATGATAAATATTTAAGGTAATGAATATCCTAATTATCTTGATTTAATCATTATGTATTGTATGCATGTATTAATTTAAAAAATAGTTAACAAACACAATAATATTCTCAATATATTCTCTCCTCAAAAAAGGATATGTGGAATGACAAATGTTTGATACATCGAAACCTGAAAATACTTTCATTTTATGCTAATACATGATTACTAGTTTAGATGACTGTAATATTTAGATGGAAAATAATTTATCTTCAAAATAGTAAAGGCATTAATTCTTTATTGTTAATTACTTTTGGCTTTCTATTTTGTTGTTCAGAAATATAAGGTTATTTTTATTTATCTTTTTATGTGATCCATATTTTCTCTCTCTCTCTCTCTCTGTCTGTACTTTCCTCCTTCATTCTCTCAAATTGCAGGTTATTCTTTTTCTCTCCAGTGTGCTAAACTTTCTTTACTTCCTGCCCTAGAAAAAGTCTATATTCTTGCCCAGGTTTAGGGCCTCAGTGGACCCTGAATTAGGAAATGTTCTTTAGTCCTGACCTATTTTCATGATCTCATTAAGGGTTTTCTACACTGTTTTCTTTTTGGAAACAATGTATAGGTTTATGCGTAATCTGTTCATAGGAATGGTGCATTAAGGAGGGGCCTCACTGACAGTCTCTTCAGTATTTCATTTTGGGCTGGTCAGTTTCTCTGGGAACTATTCCCGAAAGGTCTTTGTTTGATAGTAGAGGACAGGGTGAAAATAAAGATGGGCATTGGCTTTCAGTTTGCATGCATAATAAAGATTTCTGCTTTTGGCCTGTTACCTCTGCCTACAAAAGTGTCTGAATTCCCCTCATTAATAAGTCCTATTCTTTATCATCTCCAGAGAACAAATTGGCATTCTTCTCTCTGTTTGAGGGACTGTTAGACATGTGGCTGAATGCAGTGGAGGAAGAAACTCAGGATGCTGCTCATTCTTGAATAGGTTTTAAGTGACTATCCTAATTTTGTGACCCCTGGGTTATCACTACTTTCAGAGGTATCAGACGCTTTTAATTCATGAATCTTGTAAGTATTCTGTATTATAAATATATACACTTGATTATTAATCTTCCCCACTGCCAATTTAGAATTTCCATTTTATAGCTTATTTCACTACTAATTTATTTACTTTTCATTGTTCAACATTTCATTACTTTTTAAACAATCATTCCTTGAAGATAAGAAATTTGTCTTAAAGATCAACATTTATTTTACTCTCAAAAGCAACTCTAGTTTTGTGATACGTTAAGATTATACAGTTTGTGGAGGAGGTCCATTTTAAAAAAGAATAGATTGGAAATGCCTCATAGAGTAACTCTGTGGTTTTATTTTACCCACAGGACTATGGTTAAATATGTGGGAAAGAACTACAAGACAGTTGTTAAAAGTATGAAAAAGACAGTTGCTAAATGTATGAAAGACCTTTTTTACCTTAAGTATTGGCATATTCCACACGTCTGTACTATTCTTGAGTGAGCTCGCTTAAGAATGAATATGACTTGAACTCATTCATGTTTAGAGAGGATGTCAAATTGAGAACCAGGTGTATCTACCAACACTAAAAATGACCCTAAAGTAAATTGGTTGAAGAAATTAGATCTCAAAGATTCTTGGTGAATTTTTAAGTCTTCATCCGTATATCCATATTCAAAGGAGATGACAGAAGCCAAAATAAAAGAATTATGGGCTGACAGGACAACTGGAATAAAATAAGTATCAGTTTCATTAAAAAGGGCTAACTTGAAGATAAATCTTTTGAAGATAAATTTTAACTCCAGCTCTTTAGAGGATCTAAAGTGACCTTAATGGACAGTGGAAGAATCACAACATAGAATTCCTCGAATAAAAATTTATTGACTTTAAATAAAAATAAATAAATAAATAAATAAAATAGAAATAAAATAGGAAATTTCATACAGAATCTTGAAAGCAGTTCATGCAATTTATATGCCCTAAAGTTTAAGATTAACTAGCTTCATGATAAATGTATTTCTGATTCTAGTGTCAATTGTTTGGGGAGGACGATGAATTAGATGCTTATTTTCAGCTTGCCCTCATTATTCAGAAGTCTGATTTGAATCACTTTGTAAGTGTGCTCACTCAAAAATATCATGTTTTGAAACCGTTCATTTTTTGTATTTTTTTTGGTTATTGGATATTAACATATAACTAGAATATAATTTTAATGGCCTTAGGCCTTTACATAACACCTAAAATAAATTTAGCCTCATTTCCTCTATCATATATGCAAACTACTTTCAGCATGGTAAAACTTATTGTCTCACAGAATACAAGTAAGTATCAAGCCCATACAATTACACAAATATACATAATATACGAGTGTATAAATGCCAAAGAGAAAAAAAAAATATGAAAATGAGGAAAAGGAAAAACTTGCAGAGAAGGTATAATTTTAAAGGGATCCAATACATCTAAAAAATGTGGTATTTAACAATCAGTCAATTGGTTTCTAGACATAAGCAATTCCATGAGAAACAATAGTAAGTGTAAAGGCCCTAAGGCAGGAGCTATTTGATGTATTCCAGAGACAATGAGGAAGTCAATGTAGATGAAGAGCAGTAGCAAAGGTGTCTCAAATGAGAGAAGGCAAGATCAGAGTTGTAAGAACAGGGGCGGAAGGGCAAATATGTGGCATCATCTATGTAGCATAAGTGTAGGCTATTCTATGGATTTTGGCTTTGAGACATACTGTTAACTATTTAAGGGTTTGTTCATAGATTAAACATTTAATTTGAGATATTTGTCATGAATAATTCCAAGATTTTTTGAAGAAATGTGTCCAAAGTCATGCAAAGGAAGACAGAATATGTGTGTATAGATGAGAAAATGAATTTAAAAAATTAGAAAAGAAAATTAAGTGACATATTTGGAATGATTAGTAAAATGACTAGCACAGAAAGAAGCAAAACTACTATACTTGTGGCATAAATAAAAATGAACATAAACATAAATATGAATAAAATTGCTTAGCTCCATAAAAAAGTAACAAATTTAAATAAGCACAAAATATGTCATTTTCAAATAAGACAAAATATTATATATCTCCACATAAAGTTATGTGGACTCATCTTGAAATCTTTTATCTTTTCATCTTTATTTGAAATTTAGAAATTCTAATTCTAATTCTTACATGTATTTCTTCTTTAGAAAAAGCTTACTGATTTCTGTAAGTTAATAGGAACCCTCTGTCTCTCTGTCTCTCTTTCTTTTTCTATAGACACATATAAAATACACACAAATATTTTACTTGTATATGCATGTACCAATAAATTATATGGTTTCATCTTAAAGTGTCAAAAAAGCTGCAGTGAATTTTAATAAAATTAGATGTTTACTATTTATTTTATTTTATTTTAAATTGACAATAGTTGTATATATTTATGGGGCACAATGTATTGATTTGATACATGTAAGTATGGTGAAATAATCTAATCAGGCTAACTAACATGTACATCACTTCACATAGTTGTCATTTGTTTGTAGTCAGGGCATTAAAAACCCACTTTAATTATTTTGAAATACACTATAATATATTCAGTAACTATAAATATAATTTAGTATTATAGTATAGTTAACTATAATTTAACTAAAATTATTAACTATAGTCACTATGCTGTGCAATACATAAACAGAACTTATTTCTCCACAGGACAATAATGCAAGTTTGTTGAACAATTTTTGCTGAAGCACCCCCCAAAACCAAAAACAAATATTTAACTACATGGATATTGGGAGTACCAACAAACTCATATAATGTAGAAGACCATAGAATAATTTGTACAAATTGAAAGATGATACGGGAACTTGACAATGACATTGCCTTTAATGTTAAACATGATGCAGAATTCAAAAAAGATTATGGAAAGGTTGTATTAATTTCAGCAGAGATGGAAGGATTTGGACATATTGTTTGGTACTGTCATATGAGATACAAAATCAGAAGAGGGAAAATAATAAAGACCAATGAAATTTAGAACATTATACACTTTTTGAATTTTAGGAAAAAAAATACTGCCAACATAAATCAGAAAAAGAGCATTAAAAAACCTATTTATATTATTATTTCACAATTACAAAATGGAGTAGGACTATCTGTGCATAAAAATATGTCAAGAAAGTGATTCAATCTATAAAAAGAAAACACGCTAACTTTATATAATTTGTCAGAAAAGTGGCATACTAAAGACAATAGAATTGTATACTTTGAAAAAAGATATTCAAGAAAAAAGAAAGAAGACATTATTACTTTCAAGGAAACCGAAACAATTCCTGGAGGTATTATGGATGAAACAAAGCTTCGTGTTGTGTTCTAGATTTAGAAACTGACAGAAGCACTTTGAATTTGACTCAGTTTTATAATATACTGCAGCTGAAAAACACTGAGTTGTCACAAATGTAAAAATTTATACTGAATTTTTATTGTATATAATAAAAAAGTTTGGTTGGGAGAAATAAAAAAAAAACTCAACAAGTTAAATATAAATTTAGCCAGATCTGAAATTATCAAAAAAGTTAAAATTTGTGCAACATTATTATTCATGTTTTTTGACTTCCCATAATTATCTTAAATATGTTAAGAAATGTTGAGATCTACACAAGATATACGTTAATATTTCATATTGGTAAAGACGGTATATGTCAAAAAATTATTTGATGTGGTCCAGACAATAGTACATTTCATAACACAAGGCAACAAAATTTATACCACTCATGATAAAGGAAATGATATGGTGGTAGATAATTTTCTTGAATATTTTACTTCACCCTAAATGTTTTAAAAATAGGATTTTTGTTTAGTTCTCTGAAACATATTACATAGCTTTTATTTAATCGGCATAGAGAACAAATTTAAGACACAGTACCTAATTAGGTGAATTAATTTTAATTCCACATGAATCCTTTAATTTCTTTTTTAATGAAAACTCTACCATAAAGAAAAACATAATTATTTAGTTATACTTTCCTCTAAAATTGGTCTATTATTATTTGGTTTTCTTACAATGAAACCAGAAATATATATAATAAAATACATGAGGCCGGGCGCGGTGGCTCACGCCTGTAATCCCAGCACTTTGGGAAGTCGAGGCAGGCAGATCACCTTGGGTTAAGAGTTTGAGAACAGCCTGGCCAACATGGTGAAAACCCGTCTCCACTAAAAATACAAAAATTTTCCGGGCGTGGTAGTGGGCGCCTGTAATCCCAGCTACTAGGGAGGCTGAGGCGGGAGAATTGCTTAAACCCGGGGGGGCGGATGTTGCAGTGATCTGAGAAGCTGAGATTGTGCCACTGCACTCCAGCCTGGGTGGCAAAAGTGAAACTCGGTCTTGGAAAAAAACAAACAAAAAAAGCATGAATGATGAGGAAAAAGTGATCAGTACAGTGAATGAAAGAACTGAGGAAAAAATAAAGGGACACATTATCTGTAGCTTGAACAATCAATTTTCAGGGGAAAAATGCTCCTTTATAAGATTGATCATAAGACCTAGCCTTGTGAAGCTATATTGAATATCAAATATAAAGAAATAGTAGCATTCAGGCAAAGAAAATAAAATTTTCCTCAAAGTCTTTTTTTAGTAGTTTTAGGTGTCAGAAAAGCAGATAAAAAAATTTCCTAAATCAAATAAACAATTACTAGAACCGAGTAAATTTAAACTTTACATAATACAAAGTTAATGTACAAAATTTAATTGAATTTTTATATCCTGGAAATAAATCAAATATGTAAACATCTGATAAGGGGATTTAAAATGACAGTAGTTTTGAGATTCAATAAACATTGCCCCAGAATATTATACCTGAGACAAAAGGTCAGTAGAGCCAATAGCCAAGATCTTACACCAAATTATATTAAAATGCATTTGCAACATACACCTATTATAGGTTATATATTTCTCTGTAACTAGAAAACCAAAATGTGTGTATGCTCAGGCTAAGTATAACATTGTTTTCTAAAGAACAGAGTTAGCTTTGCCCAGTCATAAATTCACTTCCTTCCCAGAGCATCAAAATATTAAAATAAGCAAGAATTATCAACTTGACCTTAAAGATCTCTATTAGAATGTTTCTGAAATCAAAATCCTAGAAAATCCAGCCACCAAATTATAGTAAGCTTCACAAAGTTTGGTATTATGGACACCCACACAAAATTGTGTCCTATTTTTCTTGCCCAATCCCCCCTAAGTTTGCTGGCCAGTGTCCCAGAATATCTTCTGTGCATATCTCAGATGCTGGTACAATTCTGGCTTCAGGTTGTAGCTATGGATGACCATAAGTTCCAAAAACCAAGAATAATAGCAGCTTGGAGATGAGTTTTAGCATCCAGACTCGGATGTCTCTTGGAGTATATGTCATTTAGGATGCTTTATATCATGTAACAAGAAATAAAAAATGACAAGAAGTGTTTTAAAATAAGGTAAATTTATTATTTCAATTAACAGGAAGATTTAAGAAGGGAGCAATTTTATGGCTACTTAACTAAAACTTCATAAAGATCATCAAGAAATCATCAACATCCTCAAGGAAGGGTGATATGGTTTGGCAGTGTCCCCACCCAAATCTCATCTTGAATTGTAATCCCCATAATTTCCAAGTGTCTAGGGAGAGACCTGGTGGGAGGTGATTGGACCATGGAGCCATTTTCCCCTATCCTGTTCTTCTGATAGTGAGTGAGTTCTCATGAAATCTGATGGTTTTATAAGGGGCTCTTCACCCTTCGCTCTTCACTCCTCTCTCCTGCCACCATGTTAAAAAGGTCCTTGCTTTCCCATTGCCTTCCTCCATGATTAAAGTTTTCTGAGGCCTCCCCAGTTATGCAGAACTGTGAGTCAATTAAACCTCTTTCCTTTATAAATTACCCATCTCAGGTAGTATTTTTATAGCAGTGTGAGAATGGACTACTACAGATAGATTATATCAATTATTCTCCTCTGCCATTCTTCACAGGTTGGCTCTTAATAATTCATTCTTCATATGGGAAAATCTAAGGCCATAGGAGAAGAGAACATATTCTTTCCACATGTCTTTTTTTTAGAGAAAAGAAAACTTTTTTAAGTCTCTCACACCCCAGCAGATTATTTCAACTGTTAACAATACCTGTCAAAAATCTACAGAGATATGCAAAATGCCCGTGGGTTATCAATAAATTGAGAGCATAAGGAATATATGTATAATATGCTTTTAAATTAGGAAAATAGTAATTTTCCATCCATTGAGATATTTTTAAATACCAAAAGATTGAATGTACTCAAAACAATATTTTAGGCCTTTTGTTATATTGACAAGAGCAAAGAAATTCATTCTTTGCAGTTGACATTTCTAACTCCTGTTATGAATTCTTGTTTTATAATGGTATTTTAAAAGGATGTCAGTTTTAAGTTATCCTTTGTTGATTTAATTCAAACTGCTAGGCATTTCAATTTTGTATTTATTTTTCTCTTCTTTTTGTATAACACTTTATGGTGCTATAGATATGTTTGGTGCACCCAAAATGAAAAAAAAAGTTGGTGACTCACTTAGTATAGATATTCCATCTTTCAAAATTAGACTGCATATTAAAGCTTTTTAAATGAACTTATGTAATGCTGAATTGCTCATTCAAATGTAGTATTCAATTTTATGAACCATATATGTTTGGCTAACATCTGGAAAACTGCTCCAGCCTAGCAGCCCTCAGTGTGAAATTTAAGTGGTTGGTACCATCTACCAATTCACAAACTTCTTCTCTTAATATTTAAGTACTTCTAAAACTACAGATTTTTAACTGTATTATTTAAGAAGAATCAAGAATCTTACTTAATATTAAGATTTAATATTAAGATTATCTCAAGCAATAATAAGAGACGATAATAGCAAATATTATAAGATATTACATGCTTACAAGGTAACCTATGTTGTTTTAAATGCTGTGGGTGTCATCTCAAATCATCTTCCCCAAATGTAAGTGCAATGGGTTTATATTTTTATGTTACATTTTGATTTTATTTTATAAATTTTACTTATATAGATGGTATTACAGATTTCCCCAGAGTCATATAAGGTGTTTCTGCTCACTGGAAGGCTTTCCCTTCATCAGTGTCCTTCAGGGATATCCCAGAAAGGGGCTGTAGTGCTTCAGCTGTACACTTTCAGGAGTGCCAGCATGTCACATAGGACCAAGTATAAACCAGGCTCAAGTCTCCTCTTCCTTTGTCAACTGGTCATAGGAAATTCCTAATGAAGCAATAGGTATGGGCTGGAAGAGAAAACAGTGCAAGAGAGGAAGGGGACATGGGTGAATTTTCTACTTGTACACGCATCCTATTTCTTCCTTCGGGGCCAGCTTGGGCCCTACCTCATGTATATCACTTTGATTTGATAATGCTGTGTTGCTGTGCATGCTCATATTTATGGCTTGACTCACCAGACCACACCCTATTCATGATGAGCAACTCAGGCTTCCATCTCCACTGAGGCCCAGCAGCAAGCCAAAAAACGTTTCTCAAATGGAGAGCAGTTTTCTGCATAAGATGACAAGACTTTTTTCCCCAAATTCTAAGGTCCTTCATGGTGATTCAACTATTGTGGCCTACCAGAAGCTCTAAACAGTATTAGTGTCTTCCACTAACATTTCAAGTATCACTGGATCTGCTGGATCTTACAACCCAAGTTTTAAAGCATTTTTAATGACAGCCTGAGCCTTTTGCAGAGCCGTCTCTTTGTCTAAGCCTCACTCAAAGTTTGCTTTTAGGGGTTATGCAATAAACGGAGCAGAGTAAAACATTCAAATGAGGAATATATTGTCTCTAGAGTTCAAAGGGAATTACTAGGCATTTTTTCCCTCGTGTGTGTGTGTGTGTGAGAGAGAGAGTGTATGTGTGTGTGTGTATGTGTGTTAGGAGGGACCAGAGGGAACAACCTATCATTTGCATTAAAAGGAATATCGCAACATTGTCCCCACTACTGAACCCCAACAAATTTTGGTGAGGTAAAATTCCCCTCAATTTTTGTAGGATTTATTTCTCACCTTCTGACATACAAGCTTCATACAAATATGTCTAGAGGTAGTTGCTATTTTCTGCTTACCAAGTCCAATCAGTATAATACCATCAATGAAAAGGATCCATATTAAGTCTTCTGGAAGGGAAAAATGATCAAGGTCTCTGCAGACTAAATTATTACAAAGGGCTGTAGAGTTTATATCCCCTTGGGGGGTTGGTCTCGCCACCTTAAAAAACAAACAAACAAGCAACAACAACAACCAAAAAAAAAAAAAAAAAAAAAAACACAGCGTCTTGTGGTATTTACCAAGAGATAGAAAGAAAAGAAAAGCATTTGCAAGATGAATAGTTGTATGTCAGTAACTGGGGACATGTTGTCCAAACAACAAATTCTACATCTGGAACAGAAGCTACACTTAGAGTCACCTGAGTAAATTCACAATAATTCACTGTCATTCTCCAGGATCAATTTCTTTTCTGCACAGGCCAAATAGGCAAGTTAAATAGGTAAGTTGAAAATATTGTGGGAATAACCACCTCTGCATCTTTCAAGTCCTTAATGCACTAGTTTCTATAATCCATTCAGAATGTGGTGTTGCTTTTCACTTACTGTTTTTTGTTTGTTTGTTTGTTTTAGGCAGAGATAATTCTGGGAGTTCCCACACAACATTTCCCACCATAGTAGCCCTCTGTACAAGTCTGGGAATGAAAGTGGTGCTTCTGCCAGTTGCTGAGTATGTTTATTTCAATTATGCACTCTGACACTGGGAAAATAATCATGTGATGGGTTTGGGGACATAATCTAAAACTCCATTAATCACCTGACTTTCATAAACCTTTATTCTGAATACTGAACCATAGTAATGTCTCCAGGAATTAGTTATCAGCTGAGAACTAGTGTTCAGTAATCAATAAAAAGTCTGATCATTTCCCTTTCCCCAATGCACAGTCACCCCACTCAAAGGCTGTGAGTTAGTTTGGAGAGGCTGGGAGAGATTACCACTCTAAATTTGTTTTGAGGACTCAAATCAGTCTTTTGTTCACTAGACCTAGAATTCGGATTATGCAAACTAGTGAAGAATTCATTATAGTATCTGTCTATTTTCTAGGAACAGTAACATCAAACAACCATTGCTACAGGTCTCTTTATGGGTCAAACGATCCTGATTACTCTTTTGGTTCTGATGTCCATCATGGTAACAGCACCCACTGCATCTTTGGTGATTAAGTGCCACCATTTGATGCTAACACCCTGCGATTCTATTATTCCCTTTACAACTGGGGATTTTAGCTCAGTGGGAACCCAGCAGTTCTCACTGTAACTTCCCACTTACAAAGGAGATTAGAAACAGAATGCTTCAAAAAATTTGGGAGCTTCTCTCATGAATTTAATACTGACTGCCTTGGTGAAAAGTGTCCTGGGGACTCCTCCAAAGAGAAGCAAGTCTTAATTGATATATCCGTTGTAACATTTCATTTCCCTAAGCCTTTGGTTACATTCTTTTACAGAATACAAAGACAATTTTAATTTTTTAACTTAGAGTTGACCATTTTCTTTGTGTTGCTAGAAAGGGATACCTGTGGCTGAGGCTGGGTAATTTATAAAGAAAATAGACTTATTTGGCACAAAGTTCTGTGGGCTGTACAAGAAGCATAGTGTCAGCATCTGCTTTGGGTGAGGGTTTCTAGAAGCTCCCCCTCCTGGTGGAAGGTGGAGGAGTGGCGGCATCACAGGACCCTATGGTGATAAAAGAAGGAAAAGAGAGAGGAGGGAGGTGGCAAGCTATATTCAACAACCAGCTCTCGTGGGGGTGGGGACACTTGCATGAGTTAATAGAGCAAGAATTCACTCATTACCTTGAGGATGGCACCAAGCCATTCATGAGGAATTCGCTTCCATGACTTAAATTCCTCATTTTAGGTCCCACCTCCAACATTGGGGATCAAATTTTAACATCAGATATGGAAGGGATTAAATATCTGAACAATATCACTCACCTTGTGCCCATGTAACAGACAACAACCCAAATGGTTAGAGCCCTTCTAATTCTTCAACTTACAAAATTTATTAATATGGGGTCCATTATTGGGAACCCATATTAATAAATTTAGGTTGAATCTACTTTAAATTCGGTCCACGTTAATCCCCCATTCTTAAAATCTATTTCTAGATATATTCTCCAGATTCTGTCTGTATAATTTGGCAAAATCATGTAATCCTGTCAGTGTGTAGTATACCTTGTTCTTTGGAGACTGCCTAGACTTGAGTGTAGTTATAGGTCTCAAAGCAAAGAGGTATGATGGAGTGTGATATGGTTTGCCTCTGTGTCCACATCCAAATCTCATATTGAATTGGAATCCCCATGTGTCTAGGGAGGGAACTGGTGGGAGGTGACTGGATCATGGGGGTGGATTCCCCTCCCCTGCAACATCTTCTTATAGTGAGTGAATTCTCATGAGATCTGATGGTTTCTAAGTGTGACACTTTCCCCTTTGCTCTCTCTGTCCTGTCGCCATGTAAAACGTGGCTTGCTTTTCCTTTGTCTTCCACCATGATTGTAAATTTCCTGAGGCCTCCCTAGCCATGCAGAACTGTGAGTCAATTAAACCTCTTTTCTTTATAACTCACCCAGTCTCAGGTAGTTCTTTATAGCAGTTTGAAAACAGACTGATACAGGGTGGGTGCTGAGGAGAATCAGCAGTGCCTTCTAAGGCAACTACCTCAGAAAAGGCCATTAGAGATTTATCAGGCAATCAAGGACTAACTTCCCCTGGCAAGGGTGGAGGGGTTGCATCTGTAGGCAAAAAAGACTTATCAGAATATGAAGGTGCAATAACCCAGGCTCATTAGGACCTGCCCCTATGTTTCAATTCCAATTTGTGATATCCTGTCCTTCTCAATCAATACACTCGCTTTAACAGAAGACACCCTGCCATGTTGAAAATAGAAATTATATTGTGATTCAGCCGCTAGAGAATTAGATTCTAGGTTTAGTTTTCAGAAATCTTAGCCCTCTGGTTATAGGATATGAGTTTCTGTCAGGGCCGAAATAGCTTCTATGTCATATATATGGGGGTTGAGCTAGGAATTTTAGTCCCTCAGCTCCTTGTTTTCTTTTTCAACTTTGTCCAGCTGAATTAGGAACAGCCATCAGGCTGGATGTGATGACTCATGCCTGTAATCCTAACATTTTGGGAGGCTGAGGCAGGCAGATCACTTAAGCCCAGGAGGTCAAGACCAAGACCAGCCTGGGCAACATGGTAAAACTCTGTCTCAACAAAAATATAAACAATTATCCAGTCATGGCGTTGCATGCCTCTAGTCCCAGCCACCTAAGTGGCTGAGGTCAGAGGATCGCTTGAGCCTGGGAGGTGGAGGCTGCAGTGAGTTGTGATTGCACCACTGCACTCCACCCTTCCAGCCTGGGTGACAGAGTGAGACGTTGTCAAAAAAAAAAAAAAAAAAAAAAAAAGGCAGTCTACTATACTCACTAGTTTCACTAGTTTGACAAAAATTTTCTCAAGGCACCAAATATGGGGCCACCCATCACCTCATAAGTATTTGGCTAAGTGTAGCCAATGGATACTTTTAAGAATATTTTGGGTATCGCTGTTGCCACAAAACACCATACAAACTTTCTCTTTCCCATTAAAATCAGGATCATTAGTGCCTTCAAATCTAATCAGAAAAACCAGTTCTCACACAGAGCCAATTCAAACCTCATCCTTAACATTTTCTTCATTTAGAACAACCCTTGGCCGGGTGCAGTGGCTCACGCCTGTAATCCCAGCACTTTGGGAGGCCGAGGTGGGCAGATCACGAGGTCAGGAGATCGAGACCATCCTGGCCCACATGGTGAAATCCTGTCTCTACTAAAAATACAGAAAAAAAAAAAGAAAAATTAGCCCGGCGTGGTGGCGGGCGCCTGTTATCCCAGCTGTTCTGGAGGCTGAAGCAGGATAATCACTTGAACCCAGAAGGCAGAGGTTGCAGTGAGCAGAGACTGCACCACTGCACTCCAGCCTGGCGACAGAGGGAGACTCCATCTCAAAAAACAAACAAACAAACAACACACACACACACACACACACACACACTCACACAAAACTACTCTCAGTACCAAAGTCTGTGTCTGTCAAGTTTCTCTAGGTCTATCAAGAGAAGTATACTAAGGTATTTATTGCAAGAAATGATTACATAATTGTGGGAGCTGGCCATGAGGAAGAGCTTGCTTGATCTTCTGGAAATAGGTCGAAGCTGTTGCCCATAGGCAGAATTTCCTCTTCACTAGGGAAGTCCTAACTCTCCTTTTAAGACCTTTTCGCTGACTGAATCAGGTTCATCCAGACTATCTAGGATAATATTTCTTAAATAAATGGATTATGATTATCTGATTATGGAATGTAATCACATGTACAAAGTATACCTTCAAAGCAACACCTAAATTAGTATTAGATTGAATAACTGAGAATTTTAGCCTAGACAAGTTGATGCATCAAAATGACTATTACATTAACCAACAGGAATTGCATGTAATTTGTATTCAGAGGTAATTTTCTTCAGAAAATAAATAACATATATTCTCCGCTGAGAAGTTCAGGTTATATCCTGTGAAAGATGAAGAGATGATAAAAAATTTTAGGCAAGAAAATTGCCAAGATTTGAGCTCATTTTGTAATGATAACTCTGAGCCCTTTGTAGTTAATGCCAAGAGGCTTCTCTAATAAAAAGCCTAAAATATAAATGTTAGAACCATCAGAATAGAAGTTGTAGGAGGTGTAAACCATGGGAATGGGTAATAATCACTCATGAAACACATTTTAAATAAGATTATATTTAAAATCACTTCTTGAGTTCTTAGAATATGTTTAAAACTATGTTAGGATTTAAAAATGCTAACTTGATAAAAATCCTGTTCTTGACTATAGAAGCTGACAGTGCAGTGGCACTAAATTTGGAAAGAGGAAACTGCGAATACAAAAAACTGAATATAAAGTGATTGAGATATGCATGGAGTAATGTAAGTGCAGCAAAGGGCTGTTGGTGTGCAGGGGACAAGGCAAGTTCCAGAAGCAAGACTAATACATTGAATAAGATAAGAGGGCCTGGGGCAGGAACACTCTTTTTAACAAAATAGACTAAGTCAAAGAAATTGAAATTCAATATTTAGCTTGAATGCCAGGGGAACTGAGAAAAACCTAGTAGGGAATAATGTTACAGAAACTAAGAAAGGCCATTTTGAAGAATAAATTAATGGACCACAGATTTAATAGTGCAGCAAGGTCAAGTGAGACAGGAACTGAAAGGAATTTATTATATTTTAAAAATAAGAGGAAATGGCCAGGCATGGTGGCTCACGCCTGTAATCCTAGCACTTTGGGAGGCTGAGGAGGGCGGATCCCAAGGTTAGGAGTTCGAAACCAGCCTGGTCAATATGGTGAAATTTCATCTCTACTAAAAATACAAAAATTAGCTGGGTGTAGTGTGCGTGCCTGTAATCCCAGCTACTCAGGAGGGCGAAGCAGGAGAATTGCTGGAACCCAGGAGGCAGAGGTTGCCGTGAGCTGAGATTGCACTACTGCACTCCAGCCTGGGCAACATAGTGAGACTCCATCTCAAAAAAATGAATGAATAAATAAATAAATAAATAAATAAATAAATAAATAAATAAATGGTAATTTGTTAACTGGGAAAACAGTTTTATTAGAAACGTAGAGGGTAGAAGTTCTACTATAGTAAGTTGAGGAGTTAATGGAAGATCAGAAAAATGACTAACATTTGCAGACTCTAGAAACTTGGCTTTAAAACAAATTTATATTAGATGGTTAGAGGAGAATGGAGACATGGGTTGTTTTTGTTTTGTTTATGGATGGTAATAGAGCACATTTTAGGCTGGGGAAAATTAATCTAGTGGTTTGGAAGACATTAACAGAGCAATAAATGATCTGTTTTCCAGAACATAAGAGCCAAAAGGAAAAAGAATTTCTATTTGTTTGGTTTGCTGTTGTGTCACATGCATAGTAGTTATTCAAAAATATTTGCAGAATGGATTAAACAAATCCTTAAAAATAAGAGGTCTTCTAAGCTCAAAAGTGACTAATGGGGGAGAATTTTCATAATCATATAAGAAGAGCATGATCATCCATGTAAGAGAATGGACAAAAATAATATTTGTAGTATTTATCCATTTGCTATATTCTGACTTACTTCTAATTTAATTTGACCCTATAAAATTATTTTATTTAAATATTATTTTCCCACAATCACAAAACCTAAAAAAGTTTCAGAGAATTTAACAAACTGGAGAATCCAGAAATTTTAATCAAGGTTGCTCTGATTTTATAATCTTTGTGCTAGATGATACATATAATCTATCTGGTATGCTCTCTAATATTTTTTCTTTATTCTTTTAGGTGAAAAAACTTATAAAATATATAACTTGTTATCAAAGTAAAATCAAATCATAATTGTGTCCACATCTTCTCTGGTTTTAAAGATATAACACATAATTACTCAGGTGTATATATATTAAATAATATTGAGTATCATGCTTCAGATGTTGCTTCATCTGTCACCTCCTCAAAGGAGCTTTCTCTGATTTTCACACTAGAGTAGGTAATTCTCTTACATGTTCCATAGCACAATTTTGTGAAAGAATTGTCTTAGATGAGAAACTAAGCTTCTCTGCCCTTGTGTCTTAAATCCAGTTTCCTTGAAAATTAAGCCAAGGCAAGGCTTAAGTGTAACTGATTTCTTCAGTAGGGCATTTGCAGAACATAGACAATGAGGGAGGCAGAGACCGAGGTGGGGAAGATGGAAGTCAAATGCACTTGCTAGGGCTTCATTGTAATTTGTGGAGAGTTTTAGCTAGTTGCTGCACAAGAGTGCTCTCTCTACCATGTAGCTGTCTTCCAAGAGGCTATACAAAAATACTGTGTCTCCAAATTGTCCTCTGTAGGAAACACAGAGAAAAAAAATCTGGTATTTCCCTTCCTGATCCTGTTGGTAGAGTTTCTCCAGAAGGAGTTCAACACCACCCCAACCATGCCAAAACATACCAGAGAGCATTACCTGGTCACTTTTGCAGCTTGTGGAGAAGCCAGATTTCATGTACTAAGTGTGCAGGTATTTTAAGTATTTTAACCAAAGTCCACACTCAGTTCTTTATGGCCTCGGATGATGTAATTAGGTGTACTTGCACAGTGACCTTCATTGCTTTTTCAGTGAAGAGACAGACAGACAGAGCGAGAGAGAATGCAGGAGATAAATGAGGTCCAGTGAAACCAAGGAAAGGAAGAACATATGCAGAAGGCAATTTGCATCACTTGTTTCATAGGCACCTCTACTGTGTATTTCTCTGGGCAGAGGAAATAGGAGGGAGGGGGCGGATGAACAGACATATTCTTTTTGCTGCAAAAGGAAGTATGCTACCAGCTTCCAGAAAACAAAAGCAATTAGCAGATACAAATATGGGAGGTATTATTTATAAATTTAGTGATAACTTGTTTCATGCTTGCTCATTAAAAAATAAGAAATGGATCTGAGGGGATGTAAAGATTATAAAAAAAACTTTATTCTAAAATAATTTTCCTTCACAGAAACATTATTCTAAATTATTAGAAGACTAGAAGGAGAGAACAAATCAAAATTTTCTCTTTTGATGATGATCTGAGTTCCAACCTATCTTCTTCAACGTTCTCTGGACAAAAACCTTAGAAAGCAGTGCAGCCGAGTCATAATTCATGAGTGAATATTAGTTATGTATTTGCCCTCAAGCATATTTTCCTTGAAGGTGAGAATCCTGAGACTATAAGAACATTTTGTCCTGTTAATGGAATGAAAGAATCAGGATAATAAAAAATGAATATCATATCTTTACTTTTAATTGCACTAAATAAGGCTTTCTAAAGTTTCTGCTCTTGTTCTATATAAATAAACCTTAAAACAATGCATTTTCATGCTTCTAGCCAACTTAAGAATTACCTGCACAAGATGGCTCTCCACACTTTTCTCATGTAGCAGACTCTGTGCTTTCTGATTTGAGGGAAGAGTTATGGGAAACAGAGACATGACAGCTGTCAGGTCCTTTGTCCAAATTTAATCAGGAATCAGCCAGAGAGGAATGTCCTAATCCATCAACACCTGCTTGGGATAAGCAGTAAACCCACCAGAGACAGAGCCAAATATAGTGATTTAATTAATTGAAAGGTGTTGGCAATTCATCAACATGCGGTGCTTCTGAGCAATTTCCAGTACCAACTAATGTAGAGCAGAATTTTGCATAAGTATCTTAAAGATTTTTAATTTGTTATAATTTTTTAAATATCAGTTAATTTGAAAATATTTCAGAATACCAAGAAAAGATACAAAAGAACATCATCTTGACTTTTTGTTTTAAATTGATATTTGCTATTTTTTAATAAACTTTTAGATGGTAAAATTTTATAAACATTCACAATCTGATGCAGAGTTATACTTCTATATGAGTGACATTTTTACACAGCTAACATGGTGCTGATTAAACTGATGTGTGAGTGTTCTAAGACAAGGCTATATTTATCACTCTTGTTCTGAAATGCGTATGTAATAGCCTAAAGACAATTATTTCACAATTAAATTACAAATCAAAGTCATCATTTAGTCTTCCTTATTTTTTTCTTGTATACTAATTTGGCCTGAGTCATGTTAGATCAATCCACAATATTTCTCTCATCTCTTCCCTTGTTTCTGTACCCAGCAGCTATTCAAATCATTATTTAATGATTTCTTTCTCACACAAACCAACTTATTAATCTCCCTCCTTTTCCCTGACCCTTGATTATTCTACACTCAGTCTAGCCAGTCTAGATTTTGTTAATTGGTTACTTTTTTCCAAATATGTCTCCCCTAGTTTCAATAGATTAAAAATATGTACCTTAATTCCACATCTTTTTTTTTTTTTTTGAGACGGAGTTTTGCTCTTGTTGCCCAGGCTAGAGTGCAATGACCCGATTTCGGCTCACCACAACCTCCACCTCCCAGATTCAAGCAATTCTCCTGCCTCAGCCTCCCGAGTAGCTGGGATTACAGACATGTGCCACCACCCCCAGATAATTTTGCATTTTTAGTAGAGACTGGGTTTCTCCATGTTGTTCAGGCTGGTCTCGAACTCCCGACCTCAGGTGATTTGCCTGCCTTGGCCTCCCAAAGTGCTGGGATTACAGGTGTGAGCCACTGCACCCGGCCTCCAATTCCATATCTTTTTAAAGACTATTCATATTTAAACATTAATTTAAAATACTTTCTTCTCCAAAAATGCTTTCTTAATCCAACCAAACAGAATTGGTTGTCTTTGTTTTTTTTTTTTTTTTTTTTAAGTCCACATGGCAATATGATCTTCCCTTGTGGTTTGTAGTTACAATTTTTGTTTGTTTCATATATTTGCGTTTTCTATTGAAGGGGTGTGTGGGGATTTTAAATATATGTGCTTAATTGCATGACTTTCCATTACAAAGTCCTTTAAGACAAAGATCGTTTTGCTCTTTTAGCCTTTTGTTCTTATTTTTTTTTCTTTTTTGCTACTCAGCTTTAATTTTCTACAACCTAGCACTATCCATTGAACTATTTTATTAAATTATAAAACTCTTTGGGGCATATGCTTGCAAATTCAATTTAGTTAAATTAACACAGTCTTTAAAATCTCTAAATATTGATCTCCAGGTTTGAAAACTTTCTCTAAATAATATTTATGCCAGAATTTTGGGCAGCCAATTCATAGTCATGATATCTTCAAATATCCTAACCTTATCAGCAAAATCTTTTGTTCTTCCAAATTTAGCTACTTATTTAAAACTACATAATGTCTTTTTTTTTCCTTTTTCTTTGTAAGTTTACATAATGTCTTTTTTTCCTTTTTCTACATAGATTTTTACCTATTTATAAAGCTCTGATTTTGGCCAGGTGCGGTGGCTTACGCTTGTTATCCCAGCACTTTGGGAGGCTGAGGCGGGTGGATCATGAGGTCAGGAGTTCGAGGTCAGCCTGACCAGCATGGTGAAACCCTGTCTCTACTAAAAATACAAAAATTAGCTGGGCTTGGTGGCACATGCCTGTAACCACAGCTACTCAGGAGGCTAAGGCAGGACAATCTCATGAACCTGGGAATTGGAGGTTGCAGTGAGCCGAGATCAAACCACTGCACTCCAGCCTGGGTGACACAGTGAGACTCCCTCTAAAAATAAAAATAAAAATAATAAAAAAAGCTCTGATTTACCCCCAACCCAGTCAGAAGTCCTCACACACATCAATAAAAAGAAATGAGTAGAGTGAACATTTTATGTATATCCAGTGCATTTTTACACTTCTCTCTCGGAGTCCACATGACTCCTTTATTTCTTTGAAGAATAGACTTTTATCCTTGCCAAATTCAGTTATTGTTTACCTCATTTTCTTATCTCTGCCTTCCCTACCATCTCTTCCAGTGGCTTGCTTTCTTGAATATTCTCTGCTTTTCCTTCCCTATTGTCAGACTTTCCACACTCATTAACTCATTCCTGTAAATGTAAAAATACACTCATTTTTTTCTAATAAATTATTATTTTTAGAAAAAATTTAAGATTTACAGAAAAACTGAGAAGATAGTAAAGAGGGTCCCATACACCTGGCACCCAGTGTCTTTTGTTTTTAACATAGCTTGTTAGTATGGCAGGTTTGTTACTGTTAATAAACCAATGTTGGTAAATTAGTATTAATAAAAGTTTATATTTTATTCAAATTTTCTTAATTTGTATGTAAAACACTTTTTCAGTTCCAAGATCCTACTCAGGATATCATGTTACATTTCAGCATGAGGTCTCCTTAGGCGTCACTTGTCTGTGACATTTTCTCAGACTTTTATTATTTTGATGATTCTGACCGAGAAACAAGGGTAAATTAGTTTATCAACTGCAGCTAGATTATAATTTGTCTTTTTTTCTCATTATTAAACCAGAGTTATAGATTATAGGGAGAAAGACAACAAAAATAAAGTGCCATATCCATTATAGAATATCAAGGGTATACACTGTCAACATGAATTACAACTGTTGATGTTGACCTGATACCTAGCTGAAGTAATGGTTGCCAGCTTTCTCCTCTGAAAAGTTACTTGCCCTCTTTCTCTACCTTTTTTGTGAGTCCAAAATCTATGTGAATATTTGTAATTATTCTGTACATATTTTTCTCCTCCCCCAAAAGCTCCCCCATTTATTTATTCAGTCATTTATTTATATCAGGATGGACCAATAGATATTTATTTTATACTTTGAGTTCTAATCTGATACTACTTTATTTATTTTGATGTTCAAATTTTCCATCGTTGCTTATCGAGAGGCCTTTCAGGTCCTGTCTCCCTTTGCTGTCCATAACCCATCAATGTGCCATTGTCATTACCTCCTTCTTCCTTTTTGTTCTTTACCTCCTCCCCCTCCTCTTTCTACTTCCTCTTTCCCTCAGCATTTTCTTACTTTGGCCACAAGATCTTCCATGCTCATCTTGTGTATTTCCTACCCTAATTCTAGAATCAGTCATTTCTCTAAGAAGCTTTGCTTCTGTTTATTGGAGAATGGTATGATAAACCAAGATATGGGCACTGGGTGTGCTAGTTACTAGTGAGGTGTCATTGATTCTGAAATATCTCAGCTGACAGAGAAGGAACACATATGTGTCTAGGCTAACCACATATCTATAAATATGTCTGTGGGCAGCTATGTACATCTCTGTTAAGCTAAGTAGGAGTTCATATGGATGTCTTTAACCCTACCTCATGACCACAAGGGCAATTCTAGACTCCTTCTCTTGCTTATCTGTAAATTCCCACTGCAACTGGCTGGTTCCAGACATTCATGATATATTCACTAAGTTGTTGAATTCCAGTATACACGTATTGTAGTATCAGAATTTGTAATCCAGATCCTTGCAGGAAATACCTTTTATTAACTAGAGTACAGTGATTATGAACAGTTTTATTTTTTACCTTTACTTTTATAGATCCATCACATTTTTACTCATTTTGGTGAGCCTTTTTTCCTCCCTAAGCCTCTTTAGTGAAGTTGCTTCATACATTCCTAATTAGGTTAAATTGTTTTGTCATATTGTGCATTTCATCCTGGAATTCCACTCTCCTACAAAATGACCCCATACAATTTACATATTTGAAGGTTCACTCTTCTATGCCTTTGGAGAAATGTACAGTGTCATGCATCCACAATTAAAGTATCATGCAGAATAGTTTTATATCTCCCCCCAAATCCCTATTCTTTATATATGAAACCCTCCCTTTTCTTCACAAAACACTGCAAAACACTAATCTTTTGCTGTCTGCATGGTCTGCTATTTTCTTTCTTTCTTTTTTTTTTTTTTTTTTTTTGAGAAGGAGTCTCGCTCTGTTGCCCAGGCTGGAGTGCAGTGGCCTGGTCTCGACTCACTGCAGCCTCCACCTCAAATGATTCTCCTGCCTTAGCCTCCAGAATAGTTGGGATTACAGGCACCCGCTGGGCTAATTTTTGTATTTTTAGTAGAGACGGGGTTTCACCATGTTGGCCAGGATGATCTTGATCTCCTGACCTGTGATCCCCCCGCCACGGCCTCCCAATGTGCTGGGATCGCAGGCTGGAGCCACTGCACCCGGCCTGTTTGCCATTTTCATAAAGTCTTTTTTTTTTTTTTTTTTGAGATGGAGTCTCATTCTGTCGCCCAGGCTGGAGTGCAGTGGCGCAATCTCGGCTCACTGCAAGCTCCGGCCCCCGGGTTCACACCATTCTGCTGCCTCAGCTTCCCGAGTAGCTGGGACTACAGGCACACGCCACCACGCCTGGCTAATTTTTTTGTATTTTCAGTAGAGACGGGGTTTCACCATGTTAGCCAGGATGGTCTCGATCTCCTGACCTCGTGATCCGCCCGCTTTGGCCTCCCAAAGCGCTGGGATTACAGGCGTGAGCCACCGCTCCTGGCCTAATGTCTTTTATTAGAACCATACGTCATAGAGCATTTCAGACTACCTTCTTCACTAAGCAATGTTTAAGATTCATCTGTGTCTTTCTGTGGCTTTATAGCTCTTTACTTTTTATGGTTGAATTACATTCCCTGATATGGATGTACCACAGTTTGTTTATGCATACACATATTGAAGGACATCTTGGCTGTTTCTCATTTGGGACAGTTATTAATAAACTTTTCCTAAACATCACTGCTCAGGTTTCTCTGTGAACCTAAGTTTTCGAAACAGTTTGATAAATACCTACAAGTGCAATTACTTGTTGTAACTAAGATTATATTTTGCTTTGTAAGACATTGACCAACTGTCTTCCAAGTGGTTGTATGATTTTTGTATTCTCGCTGGCAAGAAATGAGAATTTATATTGTTCTTCAGTAATTGGCATTGGCAGTTTTTTGAAACTTATTTATTCTAATAGGTTGTAATGGTATCTAATTGTGGTTTAACTTTGAATTGCCTAATGACAGATGACGTTAAACATCTTTTTATATTTTTATTTGCCATTTGTATAAGTTATTTGGCAATGTCTCGAGATATTTTGTCTACTTTATTATTTGTTTCCTAATTATTAAGTATAGGAGTTTTCTGTCTGTTTTGGATACAAACTGTTTATCAGTTATTTGATTTGTAAAGAGTTTCTCTCAGCCCGAGGCTTGTGTTTCCAACTCTAAACATTCCTTTTGCAAAGTAGAAGTTTTTACTTTTATTAAAATCAACTTACCAGTTTTTCTTTTCTGGATATTTTTGCTATTGTGTCTAAAAATTCATCATTAAATCCAAGCTCACTTAGATTGAGGGAGGAGACCACCCCTCATATTGTCATATGCCCAACTTCTGCCTCCAAAGAAAGAAGGAGTAAAAACTAAAAGGCAGAAATGGAATCCACAGGCAGATAGCCCAGCACCACACCCAGGGCCTGGTAGTTAAAAATCAACCCCTGACCTAACTGCTTGTGTTATCTACAGATTTTAGACACTATGGAAAAGCACCGTGAAAATCCCTGTCCTATTCTGTTCCGATCTAATTACAGGTCCATGCAGCCCCCAGTCATGTACCCCCTGCTTGCTCAATTGATCACGACCCTTTCAAGTGGACCCCCTTAGAGTTGTAAGCCTTAAAAGGGACAGGAATTGCTCACTCGGGGAGCATGGTTTTTGGAGACGTGAGTCTGCCGATACTCCCAGCTGAATAAAGCCCTTTCCTTCTACAACTCGGTGTCTCAGGGGTTCTTGTCTGCAGCTCATCCTGCTACATTTTGCTCCTATGTTTTCTTCTAGAAGCTTTAAGGTGTCATGTGTTACCTTCAGATCTAAGATCCATTTTAAGTTAAT
Source organism: Homo sapiens (assembly GCF_000001405.40). Lineage (NCBI taxonomy): Eukaryota > Metazoa > Chordata > Mammalia > Primates > Hominidae > Homo > Homo sapiens. Next base: position 64,962 of record NW_003571036.1, read on the forward strand.
TTTTATCATATGATTGCCTGTGTATAGGAAAATAATTTACATTAGTATATCAACCTTGTATCCTGCTACCTTGATTTACTTATTCCAAATGTTTTATTTTCCATTTTTACTTATTATATTGACTATCACATTGTCTTTGAACAAAGACAGCTTTATTGCTTCCTTTACAATCTGTCTACTATTTATTTCCTTTTCTTATTATATTGTACAAGTTCAGTTGTCTAGCACAACATTGAATAGAAAGGGTGAAATAAAACACCCTTGCCTTTTTCCCAGTCCTAGATGAAAAGCATTTCTACTATTCAGTATAATATTAGCTATAGGTTCTTTCTAAAGTTGAGGAAGCTACCCTGTATTGCTAATTTATGAGGGCTTTTATCATGAATGGGTACTAGGTTATGCAAAAGGCTTTTTCTGCATCTATTGATATTATAATATTTTTATTCTTCTTAGGCTCTTGATATGGTGAATTATATTAACGGATTTTTCAATAAGGAATCAGCCTTACATACCTGGGACAAATCCCACTTGATTGTGGTGCATAATTATTTCTATACATTTTTAAAATTCAATTTGCTAACATTTTGTTGAGCAACTGTGGATCTGTATTCCTGAGAATTATCAGTCTGAAATTTTCTTCACTTACAATGTCTTTATCTGATTTTGGCAGTTGATTCATTGTGACCTCTAAAATGACTTAGAAAATATGACTTATTCTTCTATAATCTAGAATAAATTGTTAGAAAATGTTGTAATTTTTTTCTTAAATTGTTCATAGAATTCACCAGTGAAGCCATTCGAACCTGGTGCTTTTATTATTTTTTGAAATGTTATTAGTTGTAGATTAAATATCTTGACTGAACATATTTATTCAGATTATCTGTTTCTCCTTGTGGGAGTTTTGGGAGTTTGTGCTTTTCAAATAATTGGTATATTTAATATATAAAATTTGTGAGCATAGAATTATTCATAGTGCTCATTTATTATACTTTTAATGTCATTTGTGAGGTGTACATTGAAGGAGTCTGTTTCCTTTACAATATTGGTAATTTGTAGCTGCTCTCTCTCTCTTTTATCCTTTGTCAGACTGGTTAAAGTTTTATCAATTTTGTCTACCTTTTCATAGAACTTGCCTTTAGTTGTGTTAATTTTTTTGTCATTGTTTTTAATTTATTGTTCTCTGCTCTAATTTATATCATTTCTTTCTTTCTGTTTGCTATAAGCTTAAATTGTTATGTTTTCACTAGTGTTTTGAAAGTGAAATAAATTGCTAGATTATTGAGTTAAGAAATATTTTTCTAATATAGGCATTTAATGAAATGGATTTCTCTCTAGGCACTGTTTTCTCTGCATCCCACAAAGTTCAATAAGTTAGATTTGTATTCTTACTTAGTTCCAACTTTAAAATATTTCTTGTGAGACTTTTTCCTGGACTTCTGCATTACTTAGAAGTATGATGCTTAGTCTCCAATTATTTGTGGATTTTCCTGCTATATTTATATTATTGATTCCTAGTTTGATTCATTATGGTCTGTGTACATTGTTTGTATAATTTTATAGTTTAAATTTGTTAAGGTGTGCTTAATGGCCCAGAATGTGATCCGTCTTGGTGAATGTTTTATGTTAGCTTGAGAAGAATATGTATTCTGTTGTTGTTCAATGAAGTATTCTATAAATGCCAATACAATTACGTTAATTGATAATCAATACTCATTTTCTGCCCACTTGTTCTATTAATTACTGAAAAAGAGATGTTGAAATCTCTATACAGGTCAATTAGTCCATTTTTTTCTTGCACTTTTTTTTTCAAATTATGTCCATCACTTCTATCCATTGATGCCCTGTTGTTAGATGCATATATTGTAGATTGCTAGGTCTTCATGGAAAATTGATCACATATGATTATGTCACTATTTCTTTATTCCTGATGACTGTTCTTGAACTGAGGTCCACTTTGTCTGAAATTAATGGAGCAACTACTCCTTTTTAAATTAGTCATCATATTATGATATCTTTTATCCCTTTTCTCCTTTCCTAAAAAAATCCTTATAGTTAAAGTGGGTTTTACAGACAACATATAATTAAGTCTAAATTTCATCCACTCTGGGAATCTTTCTAATTAGTTTCTTTAACTTATTTATACTTAATGTACTTAAATAAATATGAGATACATAGCCAGGTATGTATACAGAAATAGAGATAGATATGAATAGATAGATAGATAGATCAACCATATTTGTAAGGTTACATATAATTCTATTTTTATTCTCTCTTAGCATATTAAGTATATTGCTTTATAAAGATAATTTCAGGAATTTCAGTATTTTAAACTATTCTGTATTCCTTTAAATAACACTCTACTGCTTTACTTATAGTACATATAACACAGTGTTACATCTATGTAACAGAGTATGTCCATTTTCTATTTCCCATCCTTTGTGACATTGCTGTCATCCACTTACTGTGCTATAATCATCCAAAATATCATTGTTATTATTATTAGTTTAAATATTTATCTTTTAGTCAGTTAACAATAATTTTAAATATTTTTAAAATTTATTCCTCCTCTGATGTTCTTTCTTTACGTAGATACTAGACTTTTACTAATATCAAAACTTTTCCAGCTGAGGAAAATTCTTTAATAGTTCTTGCAGCACAGGTCTGCTGCTGATGAATTCCCCCAATTTCAGTTTTCTGAGAAAGTTTTTATTTCGACCTCATTTTTGAATAATAATTTTAGTAGTTAGATAATTCTAGGTTAACTTTTAAAAAATGTTTAACATATTAAATATTGTAGTTTTCTTTTTTCTAGCTTGCAAATTTTCTGTCATGAAGCCGGAGATTTCAAATTCCTCTAGTGTCTTTTTGTTTCCACTCTTAACTTCTCTAAGTTTTCCTTTCAAGAGTTTGCGTCTTGAGGCCCTTTCATCTATAATCCACTATTATTATACTAGAGCCTTGTTAGTGTCATGCTAATGTATGATGAATGGTGAAAGAACATGCCTGTTAAATCTGTCTTTCAATGGGTTTATGCTTCTTGTCTATAACCTTCACAAGTGCTTCTTCTTGTAACTTTCTCTTCATTCCCACCTCAGATGAGGCAAAAAGGATATATATCTCCTACATACAGATAGCAGCATGTTAAATTTTAGTATAGTACATTGGAACTTATGATTCTAACTTTTGAAAGTAGAGTGTTACTATCTACAGTTGCAGTCAAATGGTAGTTGGGGTAGAAGTCACCTTAAAGATTTCTTTAATGTTACGCCTGACTAGGAATTATGGTAATAAGCTGGGTCCTCAGTAGAGACCATTGGTTAAATTATATAAATGTGACCTCTACCTATAACCAGGAATTTCTTGTAGTGTGATGACCTGGTTTGAAGGTCAAGGATATCACATTTTCTTACCTGGTCTTAGAAGTTATGGAGCATCCCTTCAACCACATTATGTTTCTAATAATTGGGTGACTAACTCAATCCTATATTTAGTAGGAAGGAAATTAGATTCTAACTCTTAAAAGAAGTATCAAATAATTTGTGTATTTATTTTAAACACTCCATACATACTTTACACTCCATTTTGTGTATATATTAGCTTAGAACATCTAAATTAATCCAATAATGTCTTCTAGAATCTTCTATTTCCTATCTATTGCACAATGCTATCAATGTTCCCCAAATTCTTTTATGTTCCCTCATGCTCTGTTGTAATATAAAACGGATCACTGATTATTCATACACTTAATATGAATAGTTCACATTTGTTTATAGATTTCTTCTCCGTTTGTTAATGACCTTTTTTGTTTGTGCTTATATCTAAGGGCAAATACAGATTTCCAGTACTTCTATATTCCCAAAGAATTGCTGATTTAATGTAATTTTATTTTAATACTTCACTTCATTCTCTCTTGGCTGCTTAGCTTTCTTTTCTACTTCAAATTTCAGTTCTGTATTCACCAGGATATTCCTCAAAAGAAAACTGTAAATCAGGGTCACACTACTTGTCACTTAATAGGACACACACACACATACATACACACATGCTCACCTGACTGTTTTGTTTTATATGGTCTTCTTCCTTGACATTGTAATACATATAGACATTATCGTTTTGTAATTATTTTAATACTTATCTATAGTATTTCATATCTGCCACAGTGTCGAATATATATAATGAGATATTCTCAAGAAAAATTCCCTGTCATATATGAATAACAAAAACAAAATGGCACAAATAGTCTGTAGGATGGTAATACATGTTTTTATTTTATAAAATTTTAATGACTTTAATGAGAAATAATTTTCATAATATATAATTTACCTAATTAAAATGTTCAGTGGTTGTTAGTATATTCTCAGAATTGAGCAACCATCACCCACAATAAATTTTAGAACACTTTAACAACCTCCAAAGGAAACTCCTTACCCATTAGTGGTTATTCAAAAATTACCCAAACTTCCTAGTCTTGAGCAAACATGAATCTTCCTGTTTCTATAGATTTGCCTCTTCTGCATTTTTTTATTTTGAGGGGGAGTCTCGCTGTGTAGCTTAGCCTGGAGTGTAGTGGCACAATCTTGGCTCACTGCAACCTCCGCCTCTCAGGTTCAAGTGATTCTCCCACCTCAGCCTCCCGAGTAGCTGAGATTACAGGTGTGCGCTACCAGGCCTGGCCAATTTTTGTATTTTTAGTAGAAACGGGGTTTCACCATGTTGGCCAGGCTGGTCTCAAACTCCTGACCTCAGGTGATCCACCTACCTCGGCCTCCCAAAGTGCTGTGTTTATAGGGCGTGAGCCACCACGCCCAGCCTGAATATTTTATATAAGTAAAATTATACAATATGTGGTCTTTGGAGGTCTGACTTCCTTCATTTAGCATACTGTTTTCAAAATTCATCTCTGTTGTAGCATGTGTCTGTGTTTCATTTTCATGTCTCGATAATATTAAATTCCTAGTAACTTTTATAAACAATTTAAAGTCTATTTTTGACTGAAATTATTATAGTAACTCAGTCTTCCTTATGGTTGCATGATAAAGCTTGCTCCATCCTTTTACCTTTAACCTAATTGTATTTTTTTTATTTAAAGTGTTTCCATTAGAAAGCAGAGTTGGATCTTGTTTTTATTGCCAAGTGTATTAATCTCTGTCTTTTATAATTATCAAATGACCTTAGCCATTTTCTTTACTTTCTGTATGTATTTGAATTACTGTTTTGAGTCACTTGATTTCAACCTGAAGAATATCCTTTACTATTTCTTCTAAAGCCAATCTAATAGCAGCAAAAGCTCTGTGTTTTTCTGTTTTGTTTTGTTTTGTTTTGTTTTGTTTTGTTTGAGACAGAGTCTCACTCTGTCACCCAGGCTGGAGTGCAATGGTGTGCTCACTGCAACCTCTGCCTCCCGGGTTCAAGTGATTCTCCTGCCTCAGCTTCCTGAGTAGCTGGGATTACAGGTGCTGCCACCACACCTCGCTAATTTTTGTATTTTTAATAGAGATGGGGGTTTCACCATATTGGCCAGGCTGGTCTCGAACTGCTGACCTTGTGATACGCCCAGCTCGGCCTCCCAAAGTGCTGGGATTATAGGTGTGAGCCACCGCGCCTGCCAAAATCTCTGTCTGTTAAAATTTTTCTAGTGATGTCCTTTTTGTCTTTATTTTTGAAAGATAGTTTTCTGCAGATAAGATACTTGATAGCCTTAACTTTCTTTGCTATAAATGTATTCCCAGTGATTTCTAGACTCCATTGTTTTTCCTGCTAAGAAGTTAGGTGTTATTTTATTAGGGTTTCCTTTTACCTGAAGAGTGATTTTTCTCTGTTGTTTTCGGGACATTGTCTTTAGCTTCCTATATTTTTACTATGCTGTGTCTGGGCGAGACAACCCTTCGGCTTTTCCTACTTAGCATTTTTTAAATCTTCTTTGGTATATAAATTAATGTTTGCATCATAATTTTGTAAGTTTTGCCCTATAATTCTTCAAATTTTTTTTCTGCTTCTTATCTCCCTCTTGTCCTTTGTGCTTCTATGATGTGTATGTTGGTGTATTTCTCTGGAACTCCCTTCACTTATCTTCATTCTTTTCTCCTGTCTTCTTTAGATTGCATAACCTACATTGATCGACTTATGCCTTTTGCTTAATCTTTTATTTTATTTTATTTTATTTTATTTTATTTTTTGAGACAGAGTCTCGCTCTGTTCCCAGGCTGGAGTGCATTTGCACTATCTCGGCTCACTGCAACCTCTACCTCCTGGGTTCAAACGATTCTCCTGCCTCAGCCTCCCAAGTAGCTGGGACTACAGGCACACACCACCATGCCCAGCTAATTTTTGTATTTTCAATAGAGACAGGGTTTCACCATGTTGGCCAGGATGGTCTCGATCTCTTGACCTCGTGGTCTGCCAGCCGTGGCCTCCCAAAGTACTGGGATTACAGGCATGAGCCCCTGCCCCCGGCCAATCTTTTATTTTTTTATTGTATGGTCAAATCTGCCAGTGGAGCCCCTCTAGCTAATTGTTAGCTACTATGCTTTTTAATTCCAGAATTTTTATTCATTCCTTTTTGTAATTTCAATTTTTCTAATTGATATAATGTATTTGATAAGGTATTGTCATCATATCTTTCTTTTTCTTTTAAGCATGGTGTCATTTAGTTCTTTGAAAATTTACAATAGCTATTTTGCTTTTGTCTGCTGAGTTGAGATTGGGGCCCCATGAAGGACAGATTTTACTTTATTTCATAGGTATACATTGCTCTTTCTTGTTTATTTGCATTTCTCATAATTTGTCATTAGAGATTTAATATTTTAGATAACATATTACAGTAATTGCAGATTCTATTACCACTTCCCATCTTGCTCCTCATCTAGGGCTTGTTGTGGTTGCTATTGCCTACTTCATTTGTTTAGTGACTTGGGTGGAAAATTTTAGTTAAGCATATTTCCCAAGCAGGGTGCCCACTCTGATGCCATCTTCAGAGGTCATAGCCTTGGACTTGCACACAGTCACTTTGGGATAATGTTGGGGTTCACAGGTCTGCTTTTGAAAGTACACTGTGATATTTCTGTAAATCTACCTACCTCTGTTAGTATCACATGCAGCTATAGTTTTCATTACTTCCCAACTGGCTTCTCTCTTGTTTTTCACAATGTCCTCAGATAGAAATTGTTCCACAGTCTGATCAAAGTTTTGGTGCGTCTTCGTGGGTCTTCCGTTATGCTACTCTTTGAGGTTTGTTCTGACTCAGTGAGGAACTGTTATTAGCAATCTCTTTCCCCAGTTCTCAGTTCTCTCTGGTAAACCTTTAATTTATATCAAGTTTAGCTTGTTACCTTATGGAGTTATCAGTCTATTCTCAATTTTTTTTTTACCACCATTGTGTTCTAGAGTGTAAATGGGCTTATTTTTCCCCAACTCTGTCCCAAATAACATCAGTTCTTTGGGGTTCTCCCTGCGCAAACACTCTTTGCCACTTTTCCAGATCTAGACATAGATACAGCGACCCGCTTCTCTTGGCATGACACTTCTTATAAGTGGGATCCTAGCAAAGGCCCTAGCTTATGGTCTTTAGGGCTTGCCTCTCCAAGCCTGTAACCTCAATCCTACTATGAGCTACAGGAGATCTATTTGTGTCTTCATATACTCAGCCTGCCATGTCTAAGATGAAACTTCCACCCTACAGATGGGGCTAGGTGGAAGAAGAGAGTCCAAGCCTTTTCAGCTGTTCTTGCCTTAATGAGAACTTCTGCCAAATGAAGTGATGGTAAATAAAAAAAGGCTGATGGTTTGTTTCTTGGGGGAGATCTTTACCTCATGACTCATTGCTGGGAGAACAGGAAGTCCTGTGTCCTTGGATACACCTGCAAAAGTGGAAAATTCTGCATGCTGAGCTTGTGAGCAGGAAGAGTGGGTCATGGCTCAAATGCCATAGATTCACTATTCTTAGCAAGATTTGATCGACTTGCTTGAATAAATGCTCTTTTTATAGTTTCTGTATTCCATTAGGGTAATTTCTAGAGATTTATAAACGGCAAGCTTATAAATTTACCATTTTCACTAGTTATGCTGTTTCACTAGAGAATGTGTCTGCATTGATATATATGCCACCATTCTAGAAGTTATAAAGCTCTCATAGAAATGTGTTGAAATAGTTTACTTGTAAGGGCATCTGTTGATTTCCAAACACAATGTAAGACTAGATTTTCCACTTTTCTTTTATTTCTGCATCCATACATGGACAGCTGGTACTCTCAATTCTGCACCAGATGGAATGAAGTCTACTGTATGACTCTCTGGATAATGGTACCTATATTCCTGTGTTGACTCTTTCAACTTTCCTCTTTAGTACTTTGTGAAAACTGTAATTTTAAAGAACCTTTTATTCCCCTAGGATAAAGGATGTAAATGGCCCCCAATGAATATAAAGGATAAGTATATGATGATAGTTTAGTTTCTGAAAAATGAAGAAAAGAATACTATTTCAGTGAGTGAGTCCTTTTATCAAAATATCAAATAATTGACTTTCTGGCACTATCTTCATTCTTTCTAGTATCCTCAAGGTAAATCTACAAAAAATGATGTCTATTTAGTTTACTGAATCCTATGTATAAAATATAATGACTAACTCTTTGTATCTCCAGCAGAGTTGAGTCATAGGGTGAAATTTTGTGCTGTATAAACCTAGAAGACATAAATCTAGTCATTTTACTGCACAGATTGGTAAACTGAGGTTCACAAAGACTAACTATTTTGCCCATGGTGACATAAATGGTTACTAACTGAAAATATGAGCTTGTGAATCTGGGTTATGTTTTCTTCCCGCTACATCACTCTGCTTTACCAAAAATGTAGAACCACTTCTCTTTCCAAAAAACAAAATAATTCTGTTATTGTTGTCTTTCAGAAAATATACAGATGACACTTGGTGTAATTTATGGGCTCCAGGTAGTTATCCATCAGTGAGCAAAAAGAACCATATAGCTTCATGTGATTACACACAGAGTGATCAATAGCTACTGGTTACTTTTTTTTTTTCACTTTTATTGCCTTGAGTATTACTGAAGAAGTCAAAATGTTATAGTTTATTAGAAGCAGAGAAGGGACACTTAATTCTGTATCTCTTGGTAGTTTCTGATATTATACTATATTACTATGATAGGTGAGTTTGGGGGAAGTTTTAGAAGGAGCAAAATTAAGTGCCCATATGACACTAATATTCTTTTTAGGGAATCCAGAGGTAAGAACTTGCCTATAGCTATATTTTTCTCATAGGTTTATCTGAAAAGGTAGGGACGCATAGCAGAGACTGTCCTAAAACAAGTAAGTTATATAATTTATTAAATTATTTATTGAAATCTATAATTCAGTAAATTTCCACCCTCTGTTTCCTTCTTTCTTCATTCTTAAAGAGTAAATCCTAATTTTTTATCAAAATTAATCTCTTAAAAATAATCAATTCCACATCACTGTTGCAAACTTAAGTCGTTCTCATATATGTATTTAGACTTTTATCCTTCTAGTAGCTCAACTTTCAACATTTCTTCTACTTTTTTTTCAGATCAGTTATGTATTCCTAGCCTACAATTAACCTTACAAATAATTTCCATTACTCTATAATGTATTTATTGAATAATATCCTTTTTGTAATAAGATGAGTACAGTGCATGCAAATATTCCTGGAAGTCAGTACTGAATGTGAACCACATAAACATATAGCATGAAAGCCAAACTCAAAGTGTCCTTCAGCCAAAGTCCCCTTATATGCATACATAAATTCTTGTGGCTATTCTAGCACCATCTGATATAAGAGAAATGTGATTGTGAGAAAAAGGTGGACAGAAAGAAATAGTAATGTTAGCTAATTGCAGATAAATAGGTTATTTTGCAAAATTTATAAAAAATACATGCTCACGTGAGTACATTATTAATGCCCCCTCATGGGCCCATGTAAGAGAGTGGTCTTGAAGGTTAATCTGTATTAGTTTTCTGATAAAGATTCTTCTGCTTTTATTCACTCCCAACACTTTGGGAGAAGCATCTCTACTCATGTAACTCTTGAGAAACATCTCTACTCATTTGAACTCTTCCTGTGAAGGATGAGATTACATTTACTATGGGACTTTAGCTTCTTAAATTATCTCTAATGTTACCGCATTATTCTCTTTATTTATAGGAATTAATCCTATTTATAAAATACAAATATAGTATTGTATCACATTCTTCATTTATTTAGAATGCATCACATTCTTCATTTATTGTATCACGTTCTTCATTTATTTACTTCCAATGCCTTCTATTGTTATTTAAATAAATCTGAAGTCCTTATCATCGTTTACAAAGCCCTGTCTTATCACTACAACCAAGTCTCCTGTCCCTCACATTTGTTATTAAATATCCCAATCACACTACACTTATTTATGGTTCTTGAGAAACCTAGATGTGTTATAATCTCCTGGGTTTTTATCTATTTTTAATCTAACGTTCTTGGAAAGATTCCCCAGTTCTTCACAAAGCAATCTTCTACGTGCAGTGGATACCTATTTCTAAATGTTCTCCTAGAGAGTTTCCGATGAGCATCCCAACATCATTAATCTCTCTGCAGTTATTTTAAACAGTATTTGCCACAATTTGAAATTAACTACATTATATGTATAATAGATCTTTATAATTTTTTTTTTCTGTGAGAGCAAGGCATTCTCTCTTATTAATCACTATTTCCTCAGTGCCTACACCAGTGGCTAAAATTCTAGTGATGTTGGATGAATAAATGAGTTAATAGCTACGGATATTTAGAAGATGGAGAGAAGTTATCACCTGAAGAAAATGTGCAGGGTAAGTTGAGAGACATTGCAAAGAGAAGGAAACAAAAGACTACAAATTCTAAGTAGTTTACATTGTGAAACAGGCATGTCAAATTTACCTTTTTTCCACAGTTCACGCATACTTTGGAGATACTGTAGGTTTGGTTTCAGACTGTCACAATAAGTAAGTCATACAACTTTTTAGATTTTCGAGTGCATATAAAACTATGTTTATACTATATTGTTGTCTATGAAGCATGTGGTAGAATTATATCTTTAAAAAGTATGTATCTTAATTTAAAAACAATTAATTGCTTAAAAAATACTATTATCTTAGCCTTTAGCACCTTGCCATATTTTTGCTGTTGCAGGGTCTTACCTCGATGTTGATTCCTGGCAAATGATCAGTGTGTTTGTTGCTGAAGGCCGTGGTGGCTTTGGCAATTTTTTACCATCAGACAGTGAAGTTGCTGCACCACTGACAATTCCTTTTACAAGAGGTTGCCCTGTAGTACTTAGTGCTGGTTGATAGTATTTTACCCACAGTAGAACTTCTTTTAAAGTTGGAATCAATCCTCTCAAACCCTGCTATTGCTCTATTATAGTCTATGTAACATTATAAATCTTTTGCTGTCATTTCAACAATATTCACAGCATCTTCATCAGAAGTAGATTCCATCTCAAGAAGCCTTTACTCATCCAGCAGAAGCAACTCCTCATCCATTCAAATATTATGATAAGATTGCTGCAATTCAGTCACATCTTCAGGCTTCACTTTTAATTTTAGTTCTCTTGCTATTTCCACCACATCTGCAGTTACTTCATCCACTGAGGTGTTGAACCCTTCAAAGTCATCCATGAGGATTCAAATAAATTTCTTCCAAATTCCTGTTAATATTGATATGTTAGCCTATTCCTATGAACCTTGAATGTTCTTAATAAATGTAGAATGGTGAATTATTTCCAAGAGATTTTTAATTTACTTTGCCAATATTTATTGGATAAATTCCTGTCTATGGTAGTCATAGCCTTATGAAATATATTTCTTAATAATAAGACTTGAAAGTCAAAATTACTCCTTGATCCTTGGGCTGCAAAATGGATATTGTGTGAGCAGGCATAAAAATAGCATTAATCTCATTGCACATGTCCATCAGAGCTTCTGGAAAAATAGGCGCATTGTCAATGAGCAGTAATATTTTGAAAGAAATATTTTTCTGTACAACAGGTCTCAAAAGTGGGCTTAAAATATTCAGTAAACCATGCTGTAAACAGATGGGTTGCCATCTAAGCTTTGTTCCTCCATTTATGGAGCACAAGAAGAGTAGACTTAGCATCATTCTGAAAGGCTCTATGATTTTCAGAATGTTCAGAATGATAAATGAGTGTTGGCTTTAGTCACCAACTGTAATTGCCCCTAATAAGAGAGTCAGCTTGTTGTTTAAAACTCTCTTTCTTCTTGAATCTAAAATGCTGACTTTTTTCTGGATGTAACACTCCTGGCAGCCAAATATGTCTAGTTATAAAGAGAAGATTTTGGGGCCAGTTCTTGTGGGTCTGGAGACAGAAACATTGGATAAAGTCATCAAGATCATAAATAACAACCCATATGGAAATGCAACCGACATCCTCACCACCAATAGAGCTACAACTTGGAAACATTCCCACTCGTGTGGTGGAAGTCAGAGAAGTTTGTGGACAAACTTTCAGAAGATTCTTAAAGCCATTCACCATCTCTTCAGTGGAGATAGTAAACAATGATCAGCACTGCATTTTATTTAAAGATTGTCCCTCTAATCTTTCACAATGCTCCATTTCTGACTCAGTAATGAAAGATCAGGGGTGGAAAATTGGGTAGAAGGTGGGTATTTAAAAAAGGTCTCTGATGCTATTGTAGTTCCACATGATGTGCTTCTGTCTTTGAGTCCTTTGCTTAATATTTGACGTGGATTTATTCTGCTGTAAGCGAAAATGAATGCCACTAATCCAGTGCCTTTGCAAATGTTCCCTTTTGCCAGCTTCTGATCTTCCCTCATGGGAGACACTAATTTCTGTGGCAAACAGGTAACTTCTGAGTTAACTTTCTTTCCTTTAAGATACTTTCTTGAACATAATCTGTAGTAAGACTTCTACAAGGAAATGCCTGCCCACAGCTTCTGTGCAGTTACATGCTGTTCATCTGTGGTTCTCAGAAGGTCCCTGTGTCAGACACTTGTAATTTTTTCTTTCCAAAATATTGGGAAACATCATTTCACGAAAAGAGTCTGATAGTGGAATTTGCCAGGTGATGAAAGTTGGATCTTGAAGCTTACTTTCATTCCTCAATTTTTTTTTTTTCTCCACCGTCAGAGACAACACAGCCTGGAACTAGAGGTCTAGAAATCTGACTAAATTTCCTAGAAACAAAACTGTTTATTTTTGCAAAGAGAAATTTCATTACTTTCTCATTCTGCTCCCAGATCAAATCTCCAATATTCATATTTCCTTCAATACTTGTCTATTTCTGTCTCTGTAAGAGCCCGTTTCACTATTGATGCTGTGCTCTCTGTCATCAATTGTTCTGATTTGGGGATATTCCATTCTTCCTGTAAGTGCTGATCTCATTTGTAATTGAAAGCCCCTTGTGCTTTCAATTTAAATGCTTCCTGATAAATAGGATCTGTTATTTCACTTGGTGTAGGGCATTTAAAAAAGAACTGTCCAATGCTGTTCTCTCACCTAGCATGTTCTTGGCCAGCTTCTTCACTCAATTCATTTTTCTTTTGTTCACCTGACTTTGCTACTGCTTGTCAGTTTATACGTAACCTGATTGGTTCTCTATCATTGCTGTTGCTACAGTTTTAACACTTCAGTCTCAAACTCTGGTCCTATAACTTAGAGCAGTCTCCAACCTTACTACCTTCTTCTGAAGTGTTTGGATTTGTGTTTTCTACTGGGTAAGCTGCATAATCTTTTCCTTAACCAAGAGCTCATTAATCTCCTTTTGATGTAAAAGGATTTGATTCTATTGCAACTTCTGGGAGCGTTTTTGTAGAGCATAAACTTCTTTCAGGTGGTATGCAAGAGCATTCTGGAGATAACTACTCTCTTTAAACACATTTTTTCCATCATTGTTCAATTGCACGACAACTTCATGATGGGATCTCATCGCCAGCATTGTCTTTTTTCAGCCTTTTGTTCTAGTCGATGATTTTCTTCAAAAACCATGCCTTCCCAGGTCCTAACAGTCTCCTTATGTTTCTATTTATTGTTCTTTAAATTCTTCTTTAGAACATCTTATTCTTTCTTGTTTATTGTTTTCAGCTCTGTCTGAATAAGGCTAATTCCTTCGGATTTTTTAATGGAACTATTCCTCCAGCTTATTTATTTGCACAGTGTACTTTTGTTTCAGTTTTCCTTTCTCCTCCTGGGATTTTTCCTTTATTTCAGTCAGTTGCTTTTTCAGATTTTCAGTTTTTTCTGGTCCTTGCCTCTGCTCTTGCTTTTCCTTTTCCTTTTGTCCTTTCCCTTTGACAGCTATCTTGGCGTCTCCAGTGGCCTCACTGTTGTCCTTGACCAGCCACTGACACTCAGGCTGGCTTTTTCTCTAAGAAAAGCTGCATTTAAAGTGAGTAAATGTTCCCTCTGGGTCATTCCCATGCATAAAGAGTGCCTCTGCACCTGACATGGCTGGGGCACAGGGGTAAGGTAGATCACACCAGTGCAATGTATGTGCAGTGAGTATGCAAGTGGTACAGGTGCCTGAGCCTGCCCAGTATAGGTCACACTGGGTGGGCAGTCCTGCTTATCCTTTGAGCTTTGAAACCAGACATTGACTTCTCCTCTCTAGCTATTTAAGTCCTAGATGGCATCGTCTTTCAATAGAAGACTATTTCATCTCCGTTGAAAATCTGTTGTTTATTGTAGCCACCTTCTTCAATGATCTCAGCTAGATCTCTGGATAACATGTTGCAGCTTCTACATCAGCACTTACTGCTTCTTCTTGCACTTTTATCTTATGAAAACACTTTTTTTCTTTAAACCTCAAGAACTAATCTCTGCTAGCTGCAAAGGTCTCCAGATTCCTCATCTCTCTCCGCCTTTCAATAATTGAAGAGAGTTCAAGCTCTGTATCAAGCTTTGGGTTAAGGGAATATTAAGGACGGTTTGATATTCTATCCACACTACTAAACCTTTCTCCATGTCAGCAATAAGGTTGTTTTGCTCTCTTAACACGTGTGTCTTCACTGAAGGAGAACTTTCCTTCAAAAACTTTTTCTTCTCATTCAAAATTTGGTTAACTATTTGGTGCAAGAGGCCTAGTTTTCAGCCTATGTCAGCTTTCTTTTTTTAATAATTGCAATTTTTATTTTAGATATGAGGGTACCTGTGCTTGTTTGTTACATGGGTATGTTATGTGATGCTGAGGTTTAGATGTCAAGTTCTTGAATGCATGGATCATGATGTTTTTAATCTTTGTCAACCCAGTGTTCATCATAGTGCATGATATATGATAGGTATTCAATAAATCTTGGTTAAATTAATGGGATTTTATTTTATTTTATTATTATTTCAACAGTTTTGAGGGAACAGGCAGAGTTTGGTTACATGGATAAGTTCTTTAGGTGTGATTTCTGAGATTTCAGTGCATCTATTACCCAAGCAGTGTACACTGCACCGAATGCATAGTCTTTTATCCCTCACCACACTCCCAACCTTACCCCCAAGTTCTCAAAGTCCATATATCCTTCTTATGCCTTTGCATCCAAATATCTTAGCTCCCACTTCCAAGTGAGAACAAATAATGTTTGGTTCTCAATTGCTGAGTTACTTTACTTAGAAAAATGGTCTCCAACTCCATCCAGGTTGCACGAATGCCATTATTTTATTTCTTTTTTTGGTTGAGTAGTATTTTATGGCATTTATATATCACAAATTCTTTATCCACTCATTGGTTGATGGACATTTAGGTTGGTTCCATATTTTTGCAATTGTGAATTGTGCTGCTATAAACCTGTGTGTGCAAGTGTCTTTTTTATATACTGACATCTTTTCCTCTAGGTAGATATTCACTAGTGGGATTGCTGGATCAACTGGTAGTTCTACTTTTAATTCTTTAAGGAATCTCCACACTCTTTTCCATAGCAGTTGTACAAGTCTACATTTCCACCAACAGTGTAAGAATGTTTCCATTTCACCACATCCATGCCAACATCTATTACTCTTCGATTTTTAAATTATAGCCATTCTTGCAGGAGTAAGGTGGTATCACATTGTGGTTTTGATTTTCACTTTTCTTGATAATGATGTTGAACATTTTTTCATGTTTGTTCACCATTTGTATATCTTCTTTTGAGAATTGTTATTCATGTCTTTAACCCACTTTTTGATGAGATTTTTTTTTCTGATTTGTTTGAGTTCCTTGTAAATTCTGGATATTAATCTATGTATTAATGCAAATACATAATTTGCAAATATTTTATCTCACTCTGTGGGTTGTCTGTTTACTCTGCTGATTATTTCTTTTGCTGTGCATCAGCTTTTCAGTTTAATTAAGTCCCAACTATTTATCTTTGTGTTTGTTAAATTTGCTTTTGGATTCTTGGTCATAACCTCTTTGCCTAAGCCAATGTCTAGCAGAGTTTTTCAGATGTTATCTTCTATCTTCTATAAGGTGAAAGATGAGGATCCAGTTTCATTATTCTATGTGTGACTTACCAATTATCCCAGCACCATTTGTTGAATAGGGTGTCTTTTCTGCACTTTATATTATTGTTTTCTTTGTTGAAGATCAGTTGGCTGTAAGTATTTGGCTTTATTTCTGCGCTCTCTATCTGGTTCCATTGATCTACCTGCTTATTTTTATACCAATACCATGCTGTTTTGGTAACTATAGACTTGTAGTGTAGTTCGAAGTTGGGTAATGTGATGCCTTCATATTTGTTTTTTTTGCTTAGTCTTGCTTTGGCTATCTGGGGTCTTTTTTGGTTCCATATAAATTGTAAGATTGTTTATTTCTAGTTCTGTGAAAAATGATAATGGTATTTTGATGGGAGTTGAATTTATAGATTGCTTTGGCAGTATGGTCATTTTCACAGTATTGATTCTACCCATCCATGAGCATGAGAAGTGTTTCCTTTTGTTTGTGTCATCTATGATTACTTTCAGCAACGTTTTATAGCTTTCCTTGTAGATCTTTCACCTCTTGAGTTAGATATATTCCTGAATATTTTATGGTTTTTTTTGCAGGTGTTATAAAAGGGTTTGAGTTCTTGATTTGATTCTCAGCTTTGTCACTCCTAGTGTATAGCAGTGCTACCAATTTGTGTACATTGATTTTATATCCTAAAGCTTAACTGAATGCATTTATCAGATCTAGAAGCTTTTTGGATGAGCTTTTAGGGTTCTCTAAGTATAGGATCATATCATTGATGAACAGCCACAGTTTGACTTCCTCTTTACTGATTTGGATGCCCTTCATTTTTTTTCCCTTTTCTGATTGCTCTGGCTAGGGCATCCAGTACTGTGTTAAATAGAAATGGTGAAAATGGGCATCCTGTCTTCTTCCAGTTCTCAGGGAAAATGGTTTCAACTTTTCCTTATTCAATATAATGTTGGTTGTTTGTTTGTCATAGATGGCTTTTATTACCTTAAAGCATGCCCTTTCTATGATGATTTTGCTGAGGATTTTAATCATAAAGGGATGCTGAATTTCATCAAATTTTTTTTCTGCATCTACTGAGATGATCATATAATTTTTGTTTTTACCTTTGTTCCTGTGGTATATCACATTTATTGACTTGTGTATGTTAAACCAACCCTGCATTCCTGGTATGAAACCCACCTGATCATGGTGTATTATCTTTTTGATATGCTGTTGGATTTGGTTAGCTATTTTTCTGAGGATTTACATCAAAGATATTGGTTTGTAATATTCGTTTTTTGTTATGTCCTTTCCTAGTTTTGATATTAGGGTGATACTGACTTCATAGAATGATTTAGGGAGGTTCCCCTCTTTCTCTATCTTTTGGAATAGTTTCAGTAGGATGGTACAAATTTTTCATTGAATGTCTTATAGAATTTAGCTGTGAATCTACCTGGTCCTGGATTTTTATTTGTTGACAATTTATTTTATTACTGTTTCAATCTTCCTACTTTTTATTTGGTCTATACAGAGTTTCTGTTTCTTCCTGATTTAATCTAGGAGGATTGCGCATTTCTAGGAATTTATCCATCTCCTCTAGCTTTTCTACTTTTGTGTGTAAAAGTGTTCATAGTAGCCTTGAATGGTCTTTTGCATTTCTATTGGTTGTAATATCTCCAATTTTGTTTCTAATTGAGTGTATTTGGATTTCTGTCTTCTTTTCTTGGTTAATTTCATTAATGATCTGTTGATTTTGTTTATGTTTTCAAAGAACCAGCTTTTCATATCATCTATCATTTGATTTTTGTTGTTGTTGTTTCAATTTTATTTCATCCTACTCTGATCTTTGTTATTTATTTTCTTCTGCTGGCTTTTGATTTGGTTTGTTCTTGTTTCTCTAGTTCTTTGAGATGTGAACTTAGGTTGGCTATTTGTGCTCCTTCAGACCTTTTGATGTAGGCATTTATTGATGTGAGATTTTCTCTAACACTGCTTTTGCTGTGTTCCAGAGGTTTTGAAAAATTGCACCACTATTATCATTAACTTCAAATAATTTTAAAATTTCCATTATGATTTCATCATTCACCCAAAGATCACTCAGGAGGATATTATTTATTTTCTATATATTTGTATAGTTTTGAGGGTTCCTTTTGGAATTAATTTTCAATTTTATTCCATTGCCGTCTGAGAGAGTACTTGATATGATTTCAATTTTCTTAAATTTATTGAGACTTTTCTTGTGGCCTATCACATGATCTATCTTGGAGAATGTTCCATGTGCTGATTAAAAGAATGCATACTCTGCAATAGTTGGATAGAATATTCTGTAAATATCTGTTAAGTCCATTTATTCTAGGATATAGTTTAAGTACATTGTTACTTTGCTGACTTTCTGTCTTGATGACCTGTCTAATACTGTCAGCAGAGTATTGAAGTCCCCCACTATTTTTGTGTTGCTGTCTGCCTTATTTCTTAGCTCTAGTAGTAATTATTTTATAAATTTAAGAGCTCCAGTATTAGGCACATAGATACTTAGGATTGTGATGTTTTTCTGTTGGCCTGGTCCTTGTATCATTATATAATGTTCCTTTTGTCTTTTTAAACTGTTGTTGGTTTAACATCTGCTTTGTCTGGTGTAAGAATAGCTACTCCTGCTTGCTTTTGGTATCCATTTGCATGGAATATCTTTTTTCACCCCTTTACCTTAAGTTTATGTGAGTCCTTCTGTGTTAGGTGAGTCTCCTGAAGATAGCAGATACTTGATTGGTGAATTTTTATCCATTCTGCCATTCTGTATCTTTTAAGTGGAGCATTTAAGCCATTTACATTCAATATTAGTGTGGGGATATGAGGTACTGTTCTATTCATCATGCTAGTTGTTGCCTGAATACCTTGATATTTTTTTCATTGTGTTACTGTTTTTTTATAGGTCCTGTGAGATTTACGTTTTAACAGGGTTTCATTTTGGAGTATTTTGAGGTTTTGCTTCAAGAGTTAGAACTCCTTTTAGCATTACTGGTAGTGCTGGTTTGGTAGTGGTGAATTCTCTCATCATTTCTTTGTCTGAAAAAAATTTTATCTCTCAATGTATAAAGCTTAGTTTCACTGGATACAAAATTCTTGTCTGATGATTATTTTGTTTAAGGAGGCTAAAGATAGGACTCAAATCCCTTCTGGCTTGCAAGGTTTCTGCTGAGAAATCTGCTTTTAATATGGTAGGTTTTTCTTTATAGGTTACCTGGTGCTATTTTTTTCCTCACAGCTCTTAAGATTCCTTCCTTTATCTTGACTTTAGATAACCTGATGACTACGTGCCATGGTGATGATGTTTTAACAATGAATTTCGTAGTAACTCTTTGAGCTTCTTGTATTTCAATGTCTAGATCTCTAGCAAGACCAGAGAAGTTTTTCTCAATTATTTCCTCAAATAAGTTTTCCAGACTTTTAGAATTCTCTTATTCCTTGGGAACATCTATTATTTTTATGTTTGCTTGTTTAATATAATCCCAAATTTACTGGAGGCTTTGTTCATGTAATTTTTTTTCTTTTTCTTTGTTGGATTGGGTTAATTTGAAAGACTTGTCTTCAAGCCCTGAAGTTCTTTCTTCTACTTGTTCTATTCTATTGAAACTTTCCAGTGTATTTTGCATTTCTCTAAGTATGTCTCTCTTTTACAGAAGTTGTGTCTGTCTTTTCTTTATAATATCTATTTTTCTGGAGAGTTTTGCATCCAAATCCTGTATTGTTTTTAAAATTTCTTAAGTTGTTTTTCACCTTTTTCTGGTGCCTCCTTGAGTAGCTTAATAATCAACCTTCCAAATTCTTTATCTGACAATTTAGAGATTTCTTCTTGGTTTTAATCTATTACTGGAGAGCTGGTGTGATCTTTTGGGAGTCCTTGTTTTGTCATTTTACCAGAATTACTTTTCTGGTTCCTTCTAATTTGGGTAGACTGTTTCAGGGGAAAGATCTGGAACTCAAGGACTGGTGTTCAGATTCTTTTGTCACACAGGGTGATCCCTTGATATGGTGCTCTCCCCCTTCCCTTAGTGATGGGGCTTCCTGAGAGCCAGACACCAGTAATTGTGTATTAGTCTATTTTCACACTGCTGATAAAGACAAACCCAAGACTGGGCAATTTACAAAAGAATGAGATTTAATTGGACTCATAGCTCCAAGTGGCTGGAGAGGCCTTACAATCATGGCAGAAGGCAAGGAGGAGCAAGTCACATGTTACCTGGATGGTGGCAGGCAAAGATACAGCTTGTGCAGAGAAACTCCCATTTTTTGTTTTGTTTTTTATACTTTTAAGTTTTAGGGTACATGTGCACATTGTGCAGGTTAGTTACATATGTATACATGTGCCATGCTGGTGTGCTGCACCCACTAACTTGTCATCTAGCATTAGGTATATCTCCCGATGCTATCCCTCCCCCCTCCCACCACCCCACAACAGTCCCCAGAGTGTGATATTCCCCTTCCTGTGTCCATGTGATCTCATTGTTCAGTTCCCACCTATGAGTGAGAATATGCGGTGTTTGGTTTTTTGTCCTTGCGATAGTTTACTGAGAATAAGCTCTCCTGAGACTCATTCACTATCACAAGAACAATGCAGGAAAGACCCACACCCATAATTCAATCACCTCCCACTGGGTTCCTCCCACAACTTGTGGGAATTCTGGGAGTTACAATTCAAGATGAGATTTGCATAGGGACACAGCCAAACCATATCAGATTGTTATTGTTCTTCTGAGTCTAGCCACCCAGCAGGACTACTGAGCTCCAGGGTGGTTCTAGGGAATGTCAGTAAAGATTCCTGGGATGTGATCCATCTTCAGGTCTCCAAGCTATGGATACCAGGACCTACTCTGGTGGAGGTGGCAGGGGAGTGAAGTGAATTCTGTGGGAGTCCTTGGTTATAATTTTGTTTAGTGGGCTGGTTTCCCCAAATACTGATTATACTAGCAGTGAATTTGTCAAATGGACAGACTTGGGACCCCTGGTTAGCCAGAGTGTTGCAGGTGGTGGAAGTAGCTGTTGTCTTCTTCTTCTTGGAACAGGGCTGCTCTGTTATGAGTTGCTGTTATGGTTTGAGTTGGTTGGTCTCCAGCCAGGAAGTTGTGCTTTCAAGACAGCATAAGTTGCAGTAGTAGAAGGGGGATATAATCTTGCCCTACATTGGCCAGGATAAGTTTTCAGGTTACTCAGGCAATGGCCAGGGCCATAGAGCTCCCAAGAATTTATGTCTTTTGTCTTTGGCTGCCAGAGACGGTAGAGAAAAACCATTAGGTGCAGGTAGGGTGAGGTGGATCTGAGCTCAGACTCTTCTTGGGCAGGACTTGCTGCAGGCCCTGTGAGGGATGGGGGTGTGGTGGTCAGGCCAATGGAGTTATGTCCCCAGGGGGATTATGGTTGCCTCTGCTGAGTCATATCAGTTACTTGGGAAACTGGGGAAAGCTGGAAGTGACAGGCCTCACCCAGCTCCCAGGCAGCCAGCAAGTCCAGTCTCACTCCTGCTGTGCACCCCCAACCACACTGAATTTATATCCAGGCAGCCAGGGAGCAGGGTAGAAATCTTGCCCAAAGCTACAAGCCTCCCTACTGAGAAAGCAAGCAGGGCTACAGCTTTATCTCTCTCCCCACCTCCCTGCACCTTCAGCTGTGGCTTCTATGCTCCTATCTGCACTTCCTTTTCACCCTTCTGGATTCTGTTCAGGAAACTTCATGCTCAATTGACATTATTGCAAAGTTCAGCTAGGAGCTTCTTTCACCCTGTGGCCCCTCCCCAGTTTTCCTGGCTGCCTTCCATTCCCCGAGGACCTCTGTAAAATAAGGCCAGGAATGGCTTCCCTGGGTTCTAGCTGGGGACTGGGAGTGCCCACAAGGTTCTTCCCACTGCTTGTTCTACTTTTATATTTCACTTGGCTCCCTAAATCCATTTCAGCTCTAGGTAAGTTTAAACCCTTCTCCCTTGATGTGGATTTTCAGGTTCCCCAGTGGGGATGTGTTTTCAGAGGCTAACTTTTCCCCCTCTCACACTTTGAAAACTCACAGTTTTTTGGCTGTCTTGTGGCACTTGCAGCAGCAAACTGTTTCTTTCAAAGCGTTTGTGAATTCTTTCAGTTTTCCTGGTATGTTCCTGCAGTGGTTCTTAGAGCAAAAGTTCACAATGTGAGTCTCCAGATGTTGCTCTGTCCATCCAAGTGGGAGCTGCACATTAGTGCTGTCTCCCATCTGCCATTTTATCCAGATCATCCTGTGTCATCTTTCAGTATGCCTTCTTGAAAAAGTTTAATTATGTCTAGCTTTTGATTTAAAGTGAGAGACAAGAATTTTTTTTTTCACTTGAAGATTCAGAAGTCACCGTAGAGTTATTGGCCTAATTTCAATATTATTGTGTCTCAGGGACTAGGAGGTGCCCGAGAAGAGGGAGAGAGATGGAACAATGGCCAGTGGGTGGAGCAGTAAGGACACACACATTTACCTATTAAGTTTGCCATCTTATATGGGGGTGATTTGTGGTGCTTCAAAATCATCACAATAGTAACATCAAAGATCACTGATCACAGATCACCATAAAGATATAATAATAAAGAAAAAGTTTGAAATATTGAAAGAATTACAAAAATTTGACACAGAAGCAAAAAGTGATCATACATTGTTGGAAAAATGGCACTGATATACTGGCTCAAGGCGGGGTTGCCAGAAACTTTCAATTTGAAAATTGGCTTTGGATTTTTTATGTGAAGCATAATAAAGCAAAGCACAATAAAATGAGGTAAGCCTGTACTGAAACTTTTCTTGCAAGTTCAGAATAAACTAAGTAAATCCATCAGCAAAATATAAAAATTAATTTGTGTTTCTTTGTTGTTAAATTTTAAGCCATATGCATAAAATTAAAAGGGACATAATAGAAAGTGAGGTTAAAAACTCTGAAATAAATTCAACGAGTTTAAACTTTAAATACCCATATGTTATTGACTTAATTGTGATCACCCCTAAGGTTTTTATGTTGAAGGTCTTAACTCCTGGTACCTCAGAATGTGACTGGTTTTGGAGACAGGGCCTTTAAAGAGTATGGCTATTAGGATAAGGCTTTAATCTAGCAAGGCTGGTATCCTTTGAAGAAGAGGAAGAGACACCAGGGATTTGAGTGCACATAAGATAGACCATATGAGGACACAGAAAAGGTGATTGCTTGCCATCTGCAAGCAAAGGAGAGAGAGAGAAACCTTAAAAGACACCAAACCCACCAGCACCTTGAACTTGGATTTCCAGCCTTCAAAACTATTAGAAACTAAGTGTTGTTGCTTAAGCCAGCCAGTCTATAGTATTACAGCAACCTTAGCAAATTAATACTTCATATGAAGTTTTAAGATAACGTGAATTAATATTAGAGAACCCTATTGCATTGGCTCTCTTTGAAATGGATAAATTAACATCATTAGAATATGTTAAAATTTTATTTTATTTTGCTAAAATAAAAGAGAGATTTAATTTAAAAAATATTTTTAAAGAAGTTTTATATACTTGAACTTTGTAAAGACAATAACACATGCAGTCAGGAAAGGAAAAAAAGTCTGAGAAGAATGATTACATGATATTAAAATGTATGTTATTTTAAGAGTTATTATGAATTCAGCTAAGTGCAATTTGAAATAAGCAAAAAGTTAAGTTTGTAAAGATTAAGACTTTAAAAATTTGTGGTTAGTGGTGTTGGTTGCTTGTTTGTTTTTCACCAGGTATAAAGTTTTTATTATATTCAGTATTTTCCTTATACAAAAAAATTGACCAATGATTACATTATGTCTATGATGTCTTATTTAATATTTCCTCTGACCATCAAAAACTGATGATAAAAAAAATCATTTTTGCCTTCCACAGATTAAAAATTATAAATTTAGAGAAATCGAAAGAAACCCCCTACATACACAATTGTTATCCAGTAACCTTTTTATTGCACTTTGAAATACCAGGTGGGAATATCAACTTAGTATAATATTAAATTGTCACAATATTAAAATGGTGCTCTTCTTATACTTCTCATTTATAAAAGTCAATCTTATTTCAGGTTAATCTGCAAATTCTCACATATAATAACACCACTGTATGTGCAGATCTTTTATGGGTTTATTATTTTCCTTTAGTTCTATATAAATTTGAAAAAGAATTTTTATATAGCAATTTTATATAAATTTTAAAAATTGTCAGTTCATGTAAGCACATGTCACAGAAAAAATGGTATTGACTGAATTGTGCTAAATCTGTATATCAACTTGGAGAAAAGTAATTTATGTAGTATTTCAACCCACGAATATGAAAATGTATATTTACATCTACATTTATCATTTATTTTGTTTTTGATGTGTGATAAAATTTATAATTTACCTACACACATATATGGCCTTTCATAGATTTTGTTAGATTTATTCATAGACTTGATATTTTTGAAAAAAATATATAAATGGAGTGACCCTATATGAGGGCCCTATGCAGATGATATGAATGGCTTAGCTTCAGGGATGCTCTTTCCAATACCTTTCTGAAAGGTGGACATGGGAGATCTGCAGAACAATGACTCTGAAAAAAAATGTTATCTTGTTAAAAATATGCAGTGTCCACATGTTTACTGCTGGTTTATAGAAATGCACTTGATTTTTAATAATGTTGCTAAAATATATGTAATATATAATTTAAAATCTTAACTTTTTTAAGTGTATAGTTCAGTTGTGTTAAGTACATCTATACATTGTGAAACCAATCATCAGAATTATTATATTTTCATCTTGCAATACTGAAACTCTACACCCATTAAACAACAACTCTACTTCATAACCTATTCCCTTAGCACCTAGCAACCACTAGTCTACTGTCTGTCTCTATAAATTTGACTGCTTTAGTTATTTCATATAAATGAAATTATTAAATATTTGTATTTTCACAACTGGATTATTTTACTTAACATAATGTCCACCAAGTTTATCTATGTAAACCCTAATCCTAACCCTAGCATAGTATGCAGTTTTCTTCTTTTTATTTTATTTATTTATTTGTTTGTTTGTTTTGAGATGGAGTCTTGCTCTGTCGCCCAGGCTGGAGTGCAGTGGTGCCACCTTGGCTCACTGCAACCTCTGCCTCCCAGATTCAAGCAATTCTCCTGCCTCAGCCTCCTGAGTAGCTGGGACTACAGGCACCCACCACCACCCACTGGGCTAATTTTTTTATTTTTTAGTAGAGATGGGATTTCGCCATGTTGACCAGACTGGTCTTGAACTCCTGACCTCAGGTGGTCTGCCTGCCTTGGCCTCCCAAAGTGCTCAGATTACAGGTGTGCACCACTGCACCCAGCCAATTTCCTTCTTTTTAAAAGCTGAATAATATTCCATTGTATGTCTATACCACATTTTGTTTATGCTTCTACCTTTTGACTGTTGTGAATAATGCTGCTGTGTCCATGAGTGTACACATATCTCTTTGAGATACTGCCGTCAATCCTTTTGGATATATACCCAAAAATTGAATTACTGAGTTTTGTTAATTTGTACTTGATTTTTCATTTTTAATTTGTATCCAACAAATTGCTGAATTATCCTATAAATTATAATAATTTGATATAGAAAATTCTTTTGAATATTATTGCTATACACATATCATTTGAAAGTAAAATATTTTTTATTCTACTTTCCCATTAACATAGTTTTATTTCACACATTAATAAGCTGGCTAAGACATCTAGTGCAATGTTCAATAAAAGTCAGTTTCTAGAATATCTTTTTTGGTTTTCAACATCTGCAAGAAAACTTTCCAAGTAGTAACATAGTGTTTTTGTACATATCTTTGCTAGCTTAAGAAAGTTAACTTCTAATCTTAAATTTGCTAACTTTTCTGTAAAGGGAATTCATTTTTATTAAAAGTTATTTTTCTACATCTAGTATAATAAGTATATGATGTGTTCCTTTAATTTGAAAAATGACAAATTTTAGTAATTTACTTTTGTATTTTAAGCCAAACTTGCATTTTTATAAAAACTGAAATTGGAAGTGATATACCTTTGATTCTGTGTACATAAGTCAGATTGGCCACTAATTGCCTTTAACTTCTATTTTCTTTGTTGAAATTATCAAACTTCTGTGCTACGCTTAATAAAAACAAGTAATATGAGTTTTTATTTCTTTCCAATGAGTATCTTCTCCCGCCCCACACTCTGCTCTCTCCCCCTTTTTGTTTGGCTAATATTTCAGTACAATACTGAATAGGAGTAATAAGAGAGGCCATCTTTGCCTTGTTTGTGATCTTATGGTGAACATTTACAGTTATTCATTGTTAAGCATTATGTTAGCAATTGGTTTTGCATGAATTCCCTTTCTAGTCAAGTATATTCCATTTTAATTATTGTTTAGTCAGATTTTTTCTCATGAAAAGCTATTATTATTTGTAATATGATAAATTCCTTTTCTGCATCAATCGATATAATCTTTTTTTCTTCTTTAGATTTAGCATATGACAAAATAAACTGATTGATTTTCAATTATTGAACCAGACTTACATCCTCAGAATAAACTACAATTGGACGTGGTGTATTATGTATTTTATATATTTTTGCATTATATTTGCTAATATATTGTAAAATTTTGCTTATATGTTCATAAGTTCAGTAAAGTAGCAGGATATAAAATCAACATACAAAAATCAGTTGCATTTCTATACACCAATAACAATATATTCTTCAAACATAACAAATATTGAGGAATAAAAGGAAGTAAAATACTTGTACACTGAAAACTATAAAATGTTGATGAAAAAAATTAAGGAAGACACAAAAAATAGAAAGATATTTTGTGTTCATGGATTGGAAGGTTTAATATTGTTAAAATGTTCATTCTACCCAAAGCACTTTACATAGTCAATGAAATTTTTATTAAAATTCCAATGGCCTTTTCACATAAATAGAAAAAAAATTTAAATTTTATATGGAAGTGCAATAGAACCCAAATAGGGAAAGCAATCTTGAGAAAAAAACAAACTCATCACACTTCCTGATTTCAAATTATATTATGCAGTTATAATTAAAACATTATGGTACTTTAATTAAATAGATGCATAGACCAGTGGAACAGAATAGAGATCCCAGAAATAAATCCAAGCATGTGTGGTCAACTAATGTTCAACAAGGCCACCAAAAGACACAATGAGGAAAGGACTGTCTTGTCAATAAATGGTTTTAGAAGAACTGGATAGCAACATGCAAAAGAATGAAACTGGACTCGTTTCTTATACCATATACAAACATTAACTTAAAGTTGATTAAATACCTTCATTTAAAGATTTAAAACTGTAAAACTCTCAAAGGAAAAACAGAAGAAAAGATCATTGCCATTGGCTTTGGTAATAATTTTTTTGATATGTCACCAAAAGCTCAAATAACAAAAGCAAATATAATTAAGTGGAACAACATTAAACTAAAAAGGTTCTCCACAACAAAGAAAACAATGAATAGAAGGAAGGGCAGTGTATGGATTGGGGGAAACTATTTGAAAACCATATGTCTGATGAGGGGTTAATATGCAAATATATAACGAACTCAAACAATTTAATAGTAATTAAGAAAAAAAAACCTAACTACAAGTGGACAAAAATCTTGAACAGACATTTTTCCAAAGAAGACATAAAAAGGGTCAACAGGTATATGAAAAAGTACTAAATATTGTTAATCATCAAGGAAATATAAATCAAAACCACAGTGAGATATCACCCTATACCAGTTAGGATGAATATAATACAACAGACAAGAGATAACAAGTGCTGTTTAAGAGTGTGGAGAAGGA
Source organism: Homo sapiens (assembly GCF_000001405.40). Lineage (NCBI taxonomy): Eukaryota > Metazoa > Chordata > Mammalia > Primates > Hominidae > Homo > Homo sapiens. The sequence goes on from NW_003571036.1 coordinate 93,206, forward strand.
AAACTCTTGTACGCTGTCGGTAGGAAGATAAATTGGTACAGCCATTATGGAAAAGAGTATAGAGGTTCCTAAAAGATTAAAAATAGAACTATCACATCATCCAAAAATCTCACTATTGGACAAATACACAAAGAGAATAAAATCAGCACCTTGTAGAGACGTCTGCATATCTGTGTTCATTGCAGCATTATTCACAATAGCCAAGGTATAGAAACAATCTAAGTACCCATCAATGAATAAATGGTTTAACAACTATAGTATGTATACATTATGGAATACTATTCAGCCTTAAAAAGAAGATACTGTCTTTTATTTAAAAAAAAAAAACAGGATGAATTTAGAGGCCATTATTATGCTCAGTGAAATAAGCCAGAAACAGAATGAAAAATTCTGTACGGTTTCACTTATATGTAGAATCGATACAAAGGTTGAATACATAGAAATGAAGAGTGGAATATTGGTAACCAGGGGTGGGCAGGGGCAGGAAATTAGGAGAAATGCATCAGTGGATACAAATTTTCAGTTATTTACAATGAATAAATCTAAAGATCTAAAGTATAGCATGATGACTACAGTTAATAATACTGTATTATATTGTACTGTGTACTGAAAATTTGCCACGAGTAGATTTTAGCTGCTCTTATTTCTCTTCCCCACCTCACAAAGATGCATAAAATAAGTCTGGGCTTGGTGAGGTTGGGAGAGAAAGATCAAGAAAGGATCAAGAAAAGTGGAAGATAGGTTGGAAAGTATTTATATGAATATTGAAATAAATTGTCATCAGATTTTTAAATAAAAGGAATTATGCAAATAATCACAGTGATAAATTTAAACTATCCTCAAAAGTAGAAAAGTACAAACTCAATTAGAAAATCTAATTAATATACGGTGAAAGAACCTTTGAAAGCAGGATGTTCTTCCTACTTCATAGATGACAAGAATAAAAATTTTTAAAAAGGAAAGAAAAAATAACTGTAGAAAGGTGAGCAGCTGCATGGGACTGAAAATGGATAACGCTTCATCCCACAAATAATTGACTCTTTAAAAGTTTTTTTAAAATACTTAGTCACTAGGATAGACAAATGCTTCAGAGATTTACTAAAGAAAACAAAAATATTTTGATGTGACCTAGACATGAATCCATAAATAAAAATAGCTTATTTTACTACAGCAAAAAATAATGAAATACAATAATATCTAACTATACCACTAAAACTATGAATTTCAAAAATCACTAGAAGCTCTGATAATCATCTTTAGGAAAAAAAGAAAGATGATAAAGGCATAGTAGGAATGAATCTGTGTATTTAGACCGTTCCTGTAAACAATAACAATAGCAATATAACACAGCAAATAGCAGCAACAATGACAAGGTCACCATTAATAAAACCCAAAATGTTGTACAATCATTCAGATTTTCAAAGAGAAACTATGCTCCAATATGTAGAAAGTTTACTACTCATATTAATTTTCTGAAAAATATTTTCAAACTGTACCCTGGCCAAATGAGAGATGAATAAAAATAATCGCAAATGGGAACATTTAGATATAAAAGGCAGTGAGCAATGATGGCACTCTTCTAAGTTAGGCTTCAAGAGTCATTTGCACAGGATTTAGTAATCAGAATGAATCACAGAAAGTTGATACAACATCAGGTGCTGCTGCAGCTCAAGCTCATTGTCACACTTTCGCTGGTTCACCCTGTTGGCAACTAGTGGCTTCAGAACACTCAGCTCCTCTAAACCCTGCTGATCTCCCTGTGCAGCATTTGGGCTTTAATCCTTTCAGCTTCCACCACATTCCTTTGTTTATTTTCCTCAATTCCTAGGCATGGTTCATATGTATGTCTGTGGCAAAGTGTGCCAGTTCTTCTGCAGGTTGCTGGCATCAGTGAAGTTGGCGAATAGAAGGGGTCATTAAAAAACATTGATTCCTGTTCATTTAATGAATTCCATTTCACCCTTGAGGGGTCCACTTTGCCTGGATACTCCTTTTTTGAAATATAGGCCTCAAATGATCCTCCCACCTTGGCCTGTCAATGTGCTGGGATTACAGGGCTGAGCTTCCGTGCCCAAACCATATACCCCCTTTTCATGTTTGTCTTTGCTCCCTGCCAGCCAGACTAGCTGACATCAAGACCAGAACATTTGGTTACAGGATAACAAATTACATAGCTTGCTTAAGCCAGTCTCAAAATTGTGTAAGATCCTATCACCATAATAAATCCATTTGTATCACTCATAATGATTCTATTCTTCAATACAAAGAATTTAGTAATGATTTATGTAATAACAATAAATTCTATCCTAATTTCCAGAATAAAACATGAGAAAGCATAGAATGGGAGAGAGTACAGTAGAAAGAGCTAATCTTTGCTGATATCCTCAATTTGTGCATGGGAAAAGGATGGTAAGTAAATAAGGACATTAAAAATAATGTTCTAAACCATCAACCACACAATGTCTCTGAGGAAGTATATTCTACTTTGCAAGATAAAACATAGAGAAGTTTTTATGGAGGTTGGATTAGATTTTAAGCGAACAAAGGGAACCTTTCAGTAAGGTGATGTGCATGAGGGAAAGAGACATTCTGGTTGATTAAGAATGTTATTTTGTTATTTTTTAAGGGAGAAATAAGGTCCTCTGGTTTACAATGATGGTGCATCTGGCAGACAGACAGATTTGTTGTGATGCAGCCATGCTTTTCGTTGGTAACAATGCCCCCACTTCTGATTGACAAAGAAATCTCTGAGCTGCCAGTACATGTATGAGGAAATACATCAACCCATTAAGCAGAATACTCTGAAAATTTTAACACGATTTGCTGTGAAATTTTATAAACAGCCTTCCTGTAGTAGAAATGTAATATGCTCAATAGAGTAAGAAGGATAAATTTTGCTATTATATCAGCTGTGACTTCTGTGACTTCTTTTTTAAATTTATTTTTGTAATTAACACTACAATTGTATGTATTCATTGTGTACATGATGTTCTTCAGTACATATACATTGTGAAATGCTCAAATCTAGCTAAGTAACAAATGTATTACCTTACACATAGTTACCATTTTTGTGATGAGAAATTTGAACATCTACCCTCTTAGCAGTTTTCAAGAATACAATATACCATCATTAACTAGAGTCACCATGTTGTACAACAGAGCTCTTGAACTTATTCCTTCTATCTAACTCTAATATGAATGCTTTGATCAGTATCTCTACAATTGCCCCTCCCTGTGGAACCACCCCAGCCTCTGGTAACCATGCTGCTCTCTAATTCAGTGAGATCAACTTTCTTAAGTTCCACATAGGAGTGAAATCATGCAGTATTTGTCTTTCTGCACCTGGCTTATTTCACTTAGCATATCAGACTTCAGGAACATCCATATTGTTGCAAATGTGTCTTTTGACTTTAAAGACAGTGAATGCTTCACAGTGCAAATGACATCATTTCCTGACACTGATTCCTCAACCCAAGTACAATTTGCATATCTATTCTCTGATTTGTTTATACTTTTTCAATGGAATAAGTTTCAGGAAATATACTCTGCTTACTGTACTTTGTAAATGAGATGAAATATTTAAATCTTAAATTTTCATTTATCACTGGCTTTGAGTTAAATGTGTGTGTGTAATTTCAATAAGAAATGTGATGAGGAATATTTTGGCTCCTGACTGATAAGAGAAGCTCATGCTTAAATCCTTCTTATAAACTAAGTTGAATTTTAAGAATAGAAAGAGGACACACACACTTGACAACAGATTTCTGTGGGCAAACTAACATAGGACAGAGGAGATTGGAAGAAAGTAATTCCAATTAGAGAGCATAAATCACCAAGCCAGAAGGATGGGATAAAATGAGTTAAGGGTTTATACACTTACAAAAGGAAACAAAGACACACGAATGAGTGAACAGATCTGGCTCTTAAAATGATTATTGAGCGTGTTAAGTCTACAGCTATCCTGTTTTGAGATCAAAGAGGAGTTTCAGAAAATTCAACATTAATTTGCACTATTTTTGTCAGCTGTGAAATCATATGGGAATCAAAGCTTAGCTAAAACAGTTCTTTTTTTATTTTTTGGTCAATCACAGAAAGTTAGACATTTTTAAAGTTGCAATGGGCTTTTTGATTTAACAGCTTCAATTATGGCCACTGAATATATAAAATTTAACTCAGTAATAAAACATAGAAAATATCTGGGGAAATGGACTACATTTTATACTGTCAAAATATAATTTTTAAAAAGTTAACAGCATGACTCAAAGAAATATGACATGAAAATGTGTCAAAAATGTATTAATTCACTAATGAGGAAAACAGTAAAAAGATAAAACTAACTTAAAGAGCATTTAGAAAAACTGGGCATTGAAAGTCATTTTGACAAAAATATTAAAGGATTTTAAAATAATGTGTCCCAGTTAACTACAAAACAAGTAAATGTCTTATGGGGCAATAAAATTTTGAACCCCATTATTTTCTTCTCTATGGGACAGAAATCTTCATACTAACATGTACGTCACATAGTCTGGGCTCAAATGAAATAATGGTAACACAGACACATTCCCTGAGATAATTAAATAATTGTAATGTAGGCTTGTTAAACAATAGCTCATATGGCATTGAAATTATACTGTACATATTTTGTTTTGTTTATTTTCAAATTTTGGGTACTTTTTCTCTACAGTTCATTTACAACAGAAGAAACTGGCAGGTCATGTTAATCCTTGTAATAAATATAATAGACGTATTTCAGTTTATGATTAAGGATGTACTTATGTAAACTAATGATACTGTATATGTAAAATTAGATTCTAAAATATTAAAACTTAACAATTCCATCTTTATATAAATAAAAAGTAATGCATACTTGATCTCAATTGATAATTATGGCTGTTCCATTCCATATGTTATTTACTTACAGAAATATGGTTGGTAGTATTTTAAAAAATAAGTTCCATTGCTGGCTATGCAATATATCTACACACCAAAACTACAATTTACCCCCAAGCATGTAAAAAAAAATTTAAAGAAAAATAAAAACAAGAAAAAATAATTAGAAAGTAAGTGCATACGAACTTTGTCAATGGCCACAGCTTTTACCACTGTTGCTTTTCACTATCATTTTAATTTCCACATTTAAATATTCATTTTTAGGTAATAATTTTTTTTTGGTAACTAGATCTTTAAAATTAACCCTTCATTTATATTATCAAGAAAAAGGATAGTGATAACTAGAAATAAGTCAAAAAGTGACAGAGGCAGAAGAATGGGAATGGTCCTATGGAAAATAAACTTTTAAGTCTGTAATAATTGGTATGGAAAGATGCCAAATGCATACTAACCTGCTTTTGAACTTGCAGCTACAGTGGTCAATTATTTTACAAGCCAATTTTAGACATTTAGCAAAGCTTCACTTAAGCCAATTTTGTCGGTTTATGCTCAATATAAAGTTAATTTTTAAAGGGTTGATTTGGGCAGCTAAGCAAATTCAGCTATAGCATCTGACATCTGCTGCTTAGCAAATAATAACATTAGTAAAGGAAGAAGAATTTCCAAAAGTGGAGGACATGGTTTAGTAAATCACTGGAAAACTTTAATCATAACTCTTTTCTCATATTGTGTCCAGACTTGGTGGGTTCTTGGTCTCACTGACTTCAAGAATGTAGCCGCGGACCCTGGCGGTGACTGTTACAGCTCTTAAGGTGGCGCGTCTGTAGTTTGTTCCTTCGGATGTTCAAATGTGTTCGGAGTTTCTTCCTTCTGGTGGGTTCGTGGTCTCCCTGGCTCAGAAGTGAAGCTGCAGACCTTCGCGTTGAGTGTTACAGCTCTTAAGGCAGCGCATCTGGAGTTGTTCATTCCTCCCAGTGGGCTCATGGTCTTGCTGGCTTCAGGAGTGAAGCTGCAGATGTTCACGGTGAGTGTTACAGCTCATAAAAGCACTGTGGACCCAAAGAGTGAGCAGTAGCAAGATTTATTGCAAAGAGCAAAAGAACAAGGCTTCCACAGTGTGGAAGGGGACCCGAGCGGGTTGCCACTGCTGGCTCCGGCAGCCTGCTTTTATTCTCTAATCTAGCCCCACCCACATCCTGCTGATTGTTAGAGCGGAGTGGCCTGTTTTGACAGGGTGCTTGATTGGTGCGTTTACAATCCCTGAGCTAGATACAAAGGTTCTCCATGTCCCCATCAGATTAGTTAGATACAGAGTATGGACACACAGGTTCTCCAAGGCTCCACCAGAGCAGCTAGATACAGAGGGTGGATTGGTGCACTCACAAACCCTGAGCTAGACACAGGGTGCTGATTGGCGTGTTTACAAACCTTGAGCTAGATACAGAGTGCTGATTGGTGTATTCACAATCCCTGAGCTTGACATAAAGGTTCTCTAAGGCCCCACCAGAGCAGCTAGATACAGAGTGTCGATTGGTGCACTCACAAACCTTGAGCTAAACACAGGGTGCTGATTGGTGTGTTTACAAACCTTGAGCTAGATACAGAGTGCCCATTGGTGTATTTACAATCCCTGAGCTTGACATAAGGTTCTCTAAGGCCCCACCAGAGCAGCTAGATACAGTGTTGATAGGTGCACTCACAAACCCTGAGCTAGACACAGGGTGCTGATTGGTGTGTTTACAAACCTTGAGCTAGATACAGAGTGCTGATTGGTGTATTTACAATCCCTGAGCTAGACATAAAGGTTCTCCACCTCTCCACCAGACTCAGGAGCCCAGCTGGCTTCACCCAGTGGATTCCGCATTGGGGCTGCAGGTGGAGCTGCCTGCCAGTCCCGCGCCGTGCACCGCACTCCTCAGCCCTTGGGTGGTCGATCAGAGTAGGCACTGTGGAGCAGAGGGCGGCTCTCATCGGGGAGGCTCTGGCGGCACAGGAGCCCACGGAGCGGGTGGGAGGCTCAAGCATAGTGGGCTGCAGGTCCCGAGCCCTGCCCCGTGGGAAGGCAGCTAAGGCCCAGCAAGAAATCGAGCGCAGCGCCGGTGGGCTGGCACTGCTGGGGGACCCAGTACACCCTCCGCAGCCGCTGGCCCGGGTGCTAAGCCCCTCATTGCCTGGGGCCGGCAGGGCTGGCCGGCTGCTCCGAGTGCCAGGCTTGCCAAACCCACACCCACCCGGAACTCCAGCTGGCCCGCAATTGCCACAAGCGGCCCCGGTTCCCGCTGACGCCTCTCCCTTCACAGCTCCCTGCAAGCTGAGGGAGTGGGCTCTGGCCTTTGCCAGCCCAGAAAGGGGCTCCCACAGTGCAGCGGTGGGCTGAAGGGCTCCTCAAGTGCTGCCAAAGTGGGAGCCCAGGCAGAGGAGGTGCCGAGAGTGAGCGAGGGCTGTGAGGACTGCCAGCATGCTGTCACCTCTCAATATTACAAAAAAAAAAGAAAGGAGGCCGGGCATAGTGGCTCATGCCTGTAATCCCAGCACTTTGGGAGGCCGAGGTGGGCGTATCACGAGGTCAGGAGATGGAGACCATCCTGGCTAACACGTGAAACCCGTCTCTACTAAAAATACAAAAAAATTTAGCCAGGCGTGGTGGCGGGTGCCTGTAGTCCCAGCTACTCCAGAGGCTGAGGCAGGAGAATGGCATGAACCCGGGAGGCGGAGCTTGCAGTGAGCCAAAATGGCGCCACTGTACTCCAGCCTGGGCACCAGAGTGAGACTCTGTCTCAAAAAACAAAAGAAAGAAAGGAAAAGAAAACAAACAGGAAGAGTTCTGCAGGACAGTGAGACTTCCAAATGAAGTACATTTTACTATCTGGATAGAAGACAAATTTTTATTTATCGGGGAAAACTACTCACACTTAAATAATAGACTTCAGTTTATTTTCTGTTCTTTGTAGCGAAATATGATTTTGTCTCTGTAAGTTGATATCCAAGGCTAAGGGTAAGCGTCTGCATTCTTTCCTTTCTTTTAAATTTTATTTCTGTCAGCTTATAGGGAATGCATATCATAGCAACACCAATGTTTAGGCAAGGGAAAAGTCGTAGTTTCTGTAAGTAATATTAGTTTACCAGGAAGGAGACAAAACTATTTTGAGACCAGAGAGGAAACACACCAAAAAGCAACAGAACCAATGTGAGTAAAAAGCATCTGCCCATACCCATTCTTTCTGTGTGGGGAATCTTAGTAATTTAAATCTGGAACCATAAGGTTGATACATTTTTAGCAACCTTTATAACACAGCCTCCATGCTATGAAATATTGTGCTAAAGGACTTGCATTATTGTTTTCAGTGCTACTTAAATCCTTGTGTATGTTAAATTTATAGTTGAAGTCAAGACAGATGCCTCATTCAGTCCAGGTTGCTATAGTAAAATACAATAGATGTGGTGGCTTAAACAATAAACATTTATTTCTCATAACTGGAGGTTAAGTCCAAGATCAAGGTGTCACCAGATCCAATATCTGATGAAGGCACTTCTTCTCGTTTGTAATGGATTTTTTTTTTCTTATATACTTATATGGTGGACAGAGAGAGGGAGAAAACAAATTCTCTTATGTATCTTCTTATAAGAGCACTAACTCCTTTCATGAGGCCTCCACCCTAATGACCTAAATAACTCCCAAAGTCCCCATTTCCATTACATTGGAGGTTAGCATTTCATTATATAAATGTTGAATGGACAACAACTTCAATCCATAACAATATATTAATAAGCATTAAACATCTACGATACATTCAAAATCATCAAAGTGATGTTATGAGATAACAATGATGTTAAAAAAAAAAAAAAGGCTTTCCTGGTGTGAGTAAATAGACTTGAACTTTCAGGTTCATGGTTTTCAATTAAAATGTTATTCAAAGGGATCAAACTGTCTACTTCAATAGAAACATGGAAAAAAATGAATCACCATGGCAAATAAAGTATTTTATTATCCTTGAAGAAAAATATCTTTTATTTTTCTTTCTTTCTTTTTTTTTTTTTTTGAGATGGAGTTTCACTCTAGTTGCCCAGGTTTGAGTGCAATGGCATGATCTCAGCTCATCACCATCTCCACCTCCTGGGTTCAAGCAATTGTTGTGCCTCAGCCTCCCGAGTAGCTGGGATTACAGGCATGCACCACCATCTCTGGCTAATTTTTGTATTATTAGTGGAGACGGGGTTTCTCCATGTTGGTCAGGCTGGTCTGGAACTTCTGACCTCAGGTTATTTACCCGCCTCGGCTTCCCAAACTGCTGGGATTACAGGTGTGAGCCACGATGCCCAGCCTATTTCTAAGGAATCTTAACAATATGTCACTTTACATGAATAAAATCAAAAGTTAATAGATCTGCTTTTGTAGAACCATGTATAGAATAGCAAATACTTTGTTATGTATTATAGTTCATGATTGCTGTCTGAATATCAATAATATTTTAAAATGCATTATAAAAACAATAATTAAAATAATTATCTGAAATTTAAAAATCATCCCTGCATTAAAAATGCAAATAATTTGTGATAGATGCAATTTTAAAATAAGTGTGTTTGCCTTTGTAATTATTTTCTTCCACCTTTATATAAAATGCCCTTATGTGGTCAAATGAAATTATAATTTTCTTTCAAATAAAACCCATGAGCATCTATTTAGTTTATTTTCTAGATAATTGGCTAATTATGTGTTTCTCTTTCCATCTCATTTTTCTCTCCATTTATTATGGCAGAAAGGTTAAATAGCGTATAGGTGGTCCCAGAGAATTCACTTCTATCACACATGAATCTCCATTTCTCTACAAAATTCACATGGATTATCCTTTCTAACTCACCCCTCAGTCCTTATCACTTTGAATGAGCCTCTTTCATGGAACACTTCTTTACATCTGTGCCTACTGTAAAATGTTCTTATAGTTGAATATACATACCGTGATGCAGTTGAAAGACAAACAGTATAGTATAATTATGTCAGGAAGCATGAAACTTTCCAAAGTTCATGAGACTATAAATGTCTAAACATAATGAAATTTCAGAATCTCATCCTTTTTTTACATGCTTCTTTAAAACTTATTTTTTTCAGGAATTCATCTGCTAATCCTTTCTTGCCTACCCTTTTGCAATTGTCCTCTCATATATCTCTCACATATTTGAAGTCTTACCATAGAACAGTAACCTGGGAGTAAAAATTTCTGGCATAACAAAGGGACATTTCAAAATACAGTACTTAACTGATGAAATCTCTCTTATCAAAATAAGAGCTATATAGGCCAAGCAAGCATAGGAAAAAAAAATGTTCAACATCACTAATCATTAGAGAAATGCAAATCAAAACCACAACGAGATACCGTCTCACACCAGTCAGAATGGCTATGATTAAAAAGTCAAAAATTAACAAAAGCTAGCAAGGTTGCAGAGAAAAGGGAACACTTGTACACTCCTGGTGGAACTGTAAATGAGTTCAGCCACTGTGGAAAGCAGTGTGGCAATTCCTCTAAGAACCTGAAACAGAATTACCATTTGAGCCAACAATCCCACTACTGGTTATACACTCAAAAGAATATAAATTGCCCTACCATAAAGACACACACACCTGCATGTTCATTGCAGCACTCTTGACAATAGCAATGACATGGAATCAACCTCAATGCCCATCAATGGTAGACTAGATAAAGAAAATGTGGTACACATACATCATAGAATCACACACAGCCATAAAGAAGAATGAGATCATGTCCTTTGCAGCAACGTGAATGGAGCTGGAGTCTATTATTCTTAGCAAACTAACAGAGACACAGAGAAACAAATCCTGCCTGTTCTCACTTATAAGTGGTAGCTAAACAACATGAACACATGGACACAAAGAGGGAAACAACTGACACTGGGGCCCGCTTTTGGGTGGAGGTAGGAGGAGGAACAGGATCAGAAAAAAATACCTATTAGGCATTACGCTTATTACCTGGGTGACAAAATAATCTGTACACCAAACCCCAGTGACACACAGTTTACCTATATACAAACCTGCACATGTAACTTTGAACCTAAAATGAAAGTTATAATAAAAAAGTTATATAGACCATGAAATTTTATTATTAATACACATCAAAATTTATATACAGGTTTTAGATAATACTGTACTGATAATTTTATTTAAAATGTAAACTGAGAAGCATCTATTTAAAACTTAATCACTCAAAAATCAGAAAATTACCAGTACTCTTTTTGTCTCTTTTCTGTCACTAACTCCACCTACAAAAATGTAAGCCCTATCTTGATTTTCAAAACCAAAGATGAGTTTTTTCTGTCTTGATATACATTCATATAGAACATATTCTTGGATCTTGGTCTTTCATAAATATTATCCTCATAAGACTATTCTATATCATTCTATGTACTTATTCTAATTACTAAATAATATTCTATTACATAACAAAATGCTATTCTGAAGTTGATGAGCATTTAGCTGATAGACAGTTTCTGATTTTAATGTATAATGTACATTTCTTCTTGTAAAAGTGTAAACACATTTCTGTTAGCTATTTACCTGGAAATAAAATTACTGAGTTATAGAATATTCATATGGTTATTTTTTCAAATTTCATTACCAACAGTAATTACGATATTGTAAGCAGTTTGAGACTTCCTAAACATTTTGTTTTGTGCATTTTTCTTACATTAGCCATTCTGGTGCTTATATAGTGATATTTGAAAGTAATGTAACTGAGTATCTTAGCCTTGAAATTAATTTTGAATTTTTTTTCTTTCCATCCGAATCTCAGAATATAGCCTTGTACTTTGAAAACTATTTTTTTTTTCAGACTAAGTCTTGCTATGTCACCCAGGCTGGAGTGCAATGGCATGATCTCAGCGCACTGCAACCTCCACCTCCTGAGCTCAGACAATTCTCCTGCCTTAGCCTCCTGAAGAGCTTGGATTACAGGCTCACACCACCACGTCCTTCTAATTTTTTGTATCTTTAATGTAGACGTGGTTTCACCATGTTGTCCAGGCTGATCTTGAACTCCTGACCTCAGATGATCTGCCTGCCTCGGCCTCCCAAAGTGCTGGTATTACAGGCATGAGCCACTGCGCCTGGCCCAAAACTTTTTATTTATCTCCCTTTCCCACCAGCACTTTCTATGCACAGCACTCCCTTATCTAATTACATGCTTGCTTAGAAATTCTAGGGGCAATTTTAAACTATACTATAAAGCTACAGTAACCAAAACAGCATGGTACTGGTACAAAAACAGACATGTATATCAACAAAACAGAATAGAAAACTTAAAGTTACACACCTACAACCATCTGATCTTGTACAAGGCAGACAAAAACATGCAATGGAGAAAGGATTCTTTATTCAATGAATGGTGCTTGGATAACTGTTAAGCCATACATCAAAGACTGAAGTTGGATCCCTACCTTTCACTATATACAAAAAATTAACTCAAAATGTATCAAAGATTTAAATGAAAAACCTCAAACTATGACAATTTTAGGCAGCAACTTTGAAAATACTCTTCTTGATATCAGCCTTGCAATGAATTTGGAGTAAGTCTGCAAAAGCAATTGTAACAAAAACAAAAGTAACGAAAACAAAAGTAGACAAGTGGGACCTAATTAAACTAATTACTAATAAAATTAGTAATTAGTTAATTAAAGAGATTCTGCATAGCAAAAGAAACTATCAACAGAGCAAACAAACAGCCTACATAATGGGAGAAGATATTCATAAACAATACATCCAACAAAGTCCTAATAACCTGAATCTATTGGGAACTTAAATCAACAAGCAAAAACAAAACAAAACAAAACAAAACAAAACAAAACAAAAAACACCAAATAACTCCATTAACAAAATGGGCAAAAAATATGAACAGAAACTTCTCAAAAGAAGACATGCAAGTAGCTAACAAACAGATGACAAAATGCTCAGCATCACGAATCATGCAAGAAATGCAAATCAAAATCACAATGGGATACCACTGCACACCAGTCAGAATAGCTACTATTAAAAAGTCAATAAACAGATGCTGGTGAGAGTGTGGAAGAAAGGGAAAACTTATACACTGTTGGTAGGAATGTAAATTAGTACAGCCACTGTGGAAAGCAGTCTGGAGATTTCTCAAAAACCTTAAAACAGAGCTACCATTCAACCCAGCAATTTAATTACTGGGTATGTACCCAAAGGCAAATAAATGATTCTACCAAAAGGACACATGCAGATGTATGCTTATTGCTGTGCTATTCATGATAGCAAAGACATGGAATCAAACCAGGTGTACATCAATGGTAGACTGGATAAAGAAAATGTGGTGCATATACACCATTAATTCTATGCAGCCATAAAAAATAGAATCACGTCCCTTGCAGCAACATGGATGCAGTGGGAGGTTATAATCTTAAGTGAATTAATGCAGGAACAGACAAACAAATACGGCATGTTCTAACTTATAAGTGGGAGCTAGACATTGAGCACACATGAATATCAATGTTGGAATAATAGACATTGAAGACTGCTGGAACAGGGAGGGCAAGGGGGGGATGGGTTGAAAAACTACCTATTGAGTCCTATGCTCATTGCCTGAGTGATGGGATCCTTATCCCAAATTTCATCACCCAATATCCTCATGTAACAAACCTGCATATATACCCCATATACCTAAAAGTTGAAATTTTTAAAAAATTACATTTTACCTTGTAAATATATATAATTATTATATATTAATTACAAATAATTAAAAAAATCCCCCTCCCCCAAAAGAAAGAAGTTCCAGGGGCCAATTTGAATCAAATCAGGGATAGACATCAAGCTGCCAAATCCCCCTGCTTAGTCTACCACTACTGGGCCAAAGTCAGCATGACACAAACCCAACCTCCAGACAGGTGATTATGCAAGATAACATTCAGAACAAGACACGCAGAGCTGCGCCCTCTTGCCCCACCCCTGTATATTCCCCACACCAAATTTTACTTCCTAAACCCCTTCACTCAGCCCAGAAGGCTGAGATGGTTCCTTTGAGGCTTGAGGCCAGCCATTCTCCCATCTGCTGGCATTTGGTTGATAAAAGCTGCTTTCCTTTACCACACCTAGCTTCTCATGTTTTGACTCTGAGCACCAAACAGCTGGACTTGAGCTGGTACATTAAGTGCAATCATCTCTTTTTTTTTTCCAAATAATATATCTTTTATTTTAAAAATTTTCTTATGGTGTTGCATTGTATTGTCTTTATTTGTCTTGTATTGTATTGTATTGCCCTGTATTGTACTGGTGTTGGTGGAAATTTTTGGCCTTCTTGTCTGGCTGTGCCCCAGTTCTGTAGAATGATTTGTAGTATACACGATATCAGGCATCCTTGTCTCATGCAGAACTCAGAGTCAACTTGTTCCTACTTCACTATTATTTGTCATCTTTGTACTTTGTTGTAGTTTTCTGAACTATTATGTTTTTATTGGTTTTATTTTTTATCAATACGTAATAGTTGTACATATTTTTGAAGTACATGTGATACTGCTGGTGATGATCCTGGTGCTGGATATTTGGTTTTGGTTTTCTGTCGGGGAGTGAAGCCAGATTACTTGCATTCTGCCATTTTTGGTGATGTCACTCCACTGAGGTATTACTCTTTTTTCTTTTCTTTTTCTTTTTTCTTTTCTTTTCTTTTTTTTTTTTGAGACAGGGTCTAACTCTGTTGATCTGGCTGGAGTGCAGTAGCACAATGATGGCTCACTGCAGCCTCAACGTCCTGGAGTCCAGCAATCCTCCTAGCTAAGCAACTTGCGTAACTGGGATTACAGGTGCACAGCACTACACCTGAATAATTCTTGCAATTTTTGTAGAAAGTGAGTCTCACTATCTTGTTTAGGTTGGACTCGAACTCCTGGGTTCAAGCGATCTACCTGCCTCAGTCTCCCAAAGTGCTGGGGTTACAGGCTTGAGCCACCACACCTGGCCAGTATTACTCTTTATTTTAATAAAAAGGTCATTCTCTATTTCTACTTTACTGAAAGTGAATATTATGAGTACATTTATTATTATTTATTAAGTTTTCTTTATTGAAATGATATGACCTTCGATTTTTGTTAACGTTATGAATTATATTGAATGTTTGCAGATGCTAACTTACTATTTCATCTATGAATTAACCTGCTTTGGTCAATGAATTTATCCCTTTCCTTATTGCCTAATTTCTTTTGCTAATATTTCATCAATGATTATTAAATCTATGTTCCGGACATGATGTTTCTGCATTTTTCTCTTCTTGTAATAAATTTATCCTGTGTTAGTATCATTGCTACTGTGGCCTCATAAAAATAATTGTTATTTCTTCCTTCATTTTTCATTATCTGGATGGTTATGTATAAATTTGATATGAATTTCTTAAGTATTTGGAAGAATATGATGAATCTATGTGGGTCTAAGCATATGAGTTTATTTTTATAGTTTTTTTAAATAATAGATTTTAATTTTGTAATAGATATCAGACTTTCAGAATACCTATTGCTTCCTTTATTTGTTTTGGTACATTGTGTTTCTCAAAAATTACCACTTTCACAAAAATTGTCCAATTAATTGGTATAAAGTTGTTCCTGCTATCCCCCATCTTTTGAAAACCTGTTCATGTTTCCGCTACACCAATAAGAAATGCTAATAGTAAAGTTATGATGTTAGATCATAAAAATCATTTCTAGAAACAAAAACATAAAATATTTGTAACATACTTTTTAAGTGAATGGTGCTTTAAATTTTTAATTAGTTCGACTATATATGCAGAGAAAGAAAAAATAGAGTGAGGCATACACAGGCAAAGGGCATACACTAAAGTCATAGCAAAGCTATCCCTGGACAATGGGAAGACAAAAATGCTTATCATTTTGTTATTACAGGTTTATTTTTCTACATTTTACAAGGTAACCATAAACATAAGTTGTTTTCATAATGAGAGCAAGGATTCAAATTAAAAAAAAAGGACACCATCGTTTTGTCAGAATCAGTTTTAAAATGAATTCAATTTCTAAATAATATTTATAGTTATGTAAATAAATGCAGTAATTTTATGTATTCCAAGGGCTTCCTAAATGGGCAAATGTACAGACTTTTATTTCAATATTTGTTTACAGAAGAATAAAATAGTATGTCTCTAAATCTTTTTCTACTTTTTCTGTAATGTTTACTTTCATTAGAAAATAAATGTGATGCCATTTATTTATAATGATATGCCAAATGCAGGTTGTTATTTCTCACAATTATAATTTAGTGTCATAATTTAACAGGGTATAAAGTTGGAAAACATTATAGAAAAACTACTTTTTGTTTTTGCTTGTGAAAATCTCTACTGACATAGAAGGCATGGCAACATGATCAATCAGTTGCACAATTGGGCTCTAGGTAAGTAATAATAGGAGATAGACGTGACATCAAGAGGAGAGTTATGCATACTTCTGAGTCTAATTTAGTCCTCTGCAAAACTATTAACATGTTATGTGATGGTCCCTAATATCACTGAGGTTCAGTAATTCATCAGAAGGGCTCACAACACTCAAAAGTTGTTATACTCAAGGATATGGTTTATCATAGCAAAATTATACAAATCAAAATCAGCAAAGGGAAAGTGCATAGGGCAAAATCTGGATGAAATCAGGTTCATATTCTTTCCCAGTGGAGCAGCATAGGACCCACTTAATTTTTCCAGCAAACAGTGTGACAAAATGCTTTAAGTGTTGTCTCTAAGGAAATATCATTAGAGAATCAGTATTCAAGGTTTGCACAGAAGCTGTTGCTGTACGCATCCTCTGTCTTGTGGTCAGCCTACAGAGCAGGATAGATCAGCACCCAAAATTTGGTTTGAATGTCAAGGCTGATGAGGAACCATTTACCCACCAAGTTTCTAGACACCAGCCAAGGGCCAATCTGACCAGCAGACTAGAAGGACTCACAGCACCCAAAAGTTGTTACCCTCAAAGTTATGGTTTATCATAGCAAAATTATACATATCAAAATTAGCAGAGGGAAAGTGCACTGAGCAAAATCTGGAGGAAACAAAGTACATGAATCCAAGAGTTGCTTAGGATAAAAGTCTGAGCCAACAGTGTAAACTCATTTTTTTTCCACAGGTGTACACTGAAGTTTAGATTGATTACTTGGCCACTTGGAGAGCATAAGATTTTTTTTAGCAAAGCATTAGAATTTGTTTCCTAGACTTGTGCTCCTTATGTAACCTGCAGATAATAGGACGTATTCAAATAGAGATATGAATATATAATATTCAAATGATGTGTTGTACAAAATATCTCGTCTGTCTAGAGTCTGGGTTTTTATTTGAGTCATCAACTTTAAACTTTTTCTTCTAACTTTCTTTGTGTAGTGTGAATTGATGAGGTGATTTTATGGGGAACAGATCTACTGTATTGCCAAGGCATAGTGTCTTAACAACCAAGCAATGAATGTGTAAAATATATTTTTGCCTTTTTGCCTTCTCTGCCCTGAGTGGTTTGTAGTTTGTATCTGTAGTTGTCTTCATATATAATCTAATTCTTTTGGATAGCCTTTGCCTAAAAAGCTACTATTTCTATATCTACAGTTACAGATATTTATATATTTATATTAGTTCCCATATACTTTAGTTTGTCTTTTTTAATAAGAAATCAATTAATAAACATTTTGAAACAAACCTTGCACAATACGAAAATAGAGTTTAGTTAACTTACATCTATGTGTCTGGTAAGTATCGTCAGTATGCTTTCAAGGTTAACACTTTTCCATTTGAAGGTTATAGTTTTAAAATGTAATTACCTTTAGATATGGGAAGAATCAAGTTATTTTTGTTGAAGCATAGTTATAATTCTTTTAATGAAAAGGAGCTTGAATATATATGCAAAGAATGGCACATTTATTAAAGTAATTATACTTTGAATACTTAGCTACAAATTTTATACCTCCTGGCTGAGGAGTAAAATTGAAATAGAAAACATGCTATAATGCAATTTACAATGTAATTAGTTGTCAGTGGCATTATGTATTTCGTGTAACTCCATTATTAAAACATTTACAATTTACATAATCAGACAAATAATTTAATGAGTTTGAGATAGAAGAGTTTTTTTCCTACTTACAATAAAAGGCTATTTACAAGCAGAAGTAATGGCCAGTTTTAGATACAGGGACAGATTAAGCACCATAAACTAGTTTGAGATGTTTAACCTGAATAAAATGGAAAATTTTATTTTTATTGTATTTATTGCCTGTTTTTGAAACAGAGTCTCACTCTGTCACCCAGGCTGGAGTTCAGTACCGTGATCTCGCCTCATTGCCACCTTCGTCTCCCCAGTTCAAGCAATTCTCCCAACTCAGCCTCACAAGTAGCTGGGACCACAGGCATTCGCCACCACACCTGGCTAAATTTATGTATTTTTAGTAGAAACGAGGTTTCACCATGCCTGGAGAACTTTATAAAGTTCCCATTGCCTGGAGAACTTTATAATTTAGTGTAATCTCAAAAAGAGTTAACTGTGAGTGGGTTTTGGGGTTAGGATTACAGAAGGAAACACAATTTCCATGCACGCAAGTGGTAAATAAGGGAACTATAATGGTGCATTTTTTGTTAAAAGAGCAACTGAAATACCCCAAGCTTCTCACAGAAACAATTCTGTAATACTTTACAGGGCTCTGAGGTCTTTGTAAAGAGGAGCCAGTAATAAAGGGGACTATTTCAGTTAATTTGTTATCATCATTATTGTGTCTTGAAATGGCTACTCTGTGCCTCCAGTTACTGGTGTGAAATTGTTGTCAATTTAGAATGATAATCTTCCATTCCTCCCTGGTGCAGCTATGTTTGATGGCAAGGCTGATTTAGCACTGAGTGAAACTCAAGATATTTTTTGTACCACCTCTGTCTTTTCTTAGAAAAAAATCAGATTAAAATTAAGGAATGCCTTCAATGACAAGAAAATCTAGAAGTTGTGTAGGTTTTTAGTTTTTATTTTAGGCCTTTTGCACCCAACAGAGTACTTTGCACATCTCTTCTTGTAAGTATTATTTAATCACTTGTTTTATCTAAAAAATTGTTACCTAGAATGGGCATCTACATACTATGGCCTATACACCACATTCACTCCACAGCATGTTTTTCTATTTTTTTTAATTAATTAATTTTTTGTTTACCCACTAACCAAGTATTGCTTACCATTTTTTAAATGGCTTGTTAAAGAAGAAGTAGAGGGAGGAGAAGGAGAAAAGAGACTGCATATAGGCTGCAGAACCTGAAATATTTATTTCTTGACTCTTTACAAAAAGTAAAAATAAAAATTGTTGATTTTTGCTGCAGAGCAGCACTTTCAATATTACTTTCAGCAATGATGGAAATATTTTACATCACAGATATCCAAGACAATATTCACTCTTACAGGAGTAATTATTTAACACTTAAACTATGGGGAGTGGAGTATTACAGAAGAAATGAATTTTCTTGCTGTTTCATTTAAAATAAGTTACATTTAAGTGTAAATGCCACACATGACTGGTGGCTACCATACAGTGCAGTAGAACAGAATGTAAGCTACTAAAAGGTAGAGTCCATTGGATATTCTTAAGCATTGAGTATTAAATTTTAATGTGCACATACACCACCCGGGGTCTTTGAAAAACAAGGATTTGGGTTTGGTAGATCTCAAATGAGGTCTGAGATTCTGTGTTTTTTAGAAGTTTTCAGGTAATGTTGTTAAATGATGGTGTTCAGATCATACTTTAAGAAGAAAGGCAGAATATCTTGAGAACAGCAGGTAACAAATTGTTGAATAAACAAATTTTACAATGTCATTTTCAGGAATTCTTATAAGATGAATAAAAAATTCATGAAAATAGGTGATTTATAACTACACATGTAAACTTAAGTCTGTCTTAGCACTAGCTCCTAAGCTATATCTGTCACCTTACTAAGGGGTGCTGTCAGAAGGTAAGACATCTAAGAGTGTATTAGACCCCAAGTTATTTTCTTTCTTTTTTTTTTGAAACAGAGTCTCACTCTGTCACCCAGGCTGGAGTACAATGGAGCGGTCTTGGCGTACTGCAACCTCCGCCTCCTGGGTTCAAGCAATTCTCCTGCCTCAGCCTCCCGAGTAGCTGAGACTACAGGTGCATGCCACCACACCCAGCTAATTTTTGAATTTTTAATAGAGACAGGGTTTCACTATGTTGGCCAGGCTGGTCTGGAACTCCTGACCTGGTGATCCGCCCACCTGGGCCTCCCAACATGCTGGGATTACAGGCATGAGCCACCACGCCCGGCCAGACCTCGTTATTTTCCAGGAATTATTCTGGGTATGTGTTTGTGCACATGTTTGTGGTTGGAAATGTTAAAACTGGTCACTAATTGAGTACTATTATAATGAACAATTATGATAGACTATGCCATGTAACATGAGCTCTAAAAGAAATCTAACTTAATACAGCCTGCATTTGTAAGGACTAAGGATACTTAAAATAATGAATTCTAAGAGATGGTGATTAACAGCGTGAACTTTAGAACCAAATTGCCTGGACTCCAACACAGGCACTACCACTAACAAACTTTGTAAATTTGGATATATTACTTACCCTGTCTGTGCTGCAGTGTCACTTTTTGAAAGTGACATTGAAAATAATTAGGGATAATGAAGGTAATTATGACATACTAATACATATCATGTTTACTAGGTGTCAGCTATTCATCTCAAAATTTTAATATATATATTACTTACCTAGAGCCCAATTGTGCAACTGATTGATCATGTTGCCATGCCTTCTATGTCAGTAGAGATTTTCACAATCAAAAACAAAAAGTAGTTTTTCTATAATGTTTTCCAACTTTATACCCTGTTAAATTATGACACTAAATTATAATTGTGAGAAATAACAACCTGCATTTGGCATATCATTATAAATAAATGGCATCACATTTATTTTCTCATGAAAGTAAACATTACAGAAAAAGTAGAAAAAGATTTAGAGACATACTATTTTATTCTTCTGTAAACAAATATTGAAATAAAAGTCTGTACATTTGCCCATTTAGGAAGCCCTTGGAATACATAAAATTACTGCATTATTTTAATATATTAACTCAATTAATCCCTAAAAGAAACCTCTGATATAGGCATGCTATTGTTATGCTCACTTTCTGGACAGAGAAAATGAAGCACATTGATGTCAACTGGAAAAGTTGCATTATAGTAGATTCAATCATTCAGCATCATTTATTTTAAAAATCTATCCTTTGCTCACTGATTTGTGATAAAATCTCAATTAAATATCAAGTGTCCATAAAATGAGTCTATTTCTGATCTCTCTTTTCTGTGTTGCTATGTTTCCATATGCCATATTATATTAATATAATTCTGTCTGAATTACTGTACCTTGATGACAAATCTCATGATTAAGAAAAGTTCATTAGCTCTGTTATTCTTCTCTAATGGTATCTTCACTATTCTTGGTTCTTTGTATTTTCAGATATATTTTTTAAAATTTTGTTCAGGACTGTCAACAAAGTAAATTTTTGGAATTAGGATTTTGATTGATATGGCTTTAAATCTATATCCCAATTTAGAGATAACTGACATCTTTACAGTTTTAAGTCTTATTTTATATGATCACAGGAAGTCTGTTCATCCGTTTGGATTTTCTTTTTTGACTATGTCATTTTCCCATGACAATTATTCATGAAATCATTTGGGGTAAATGATTTCAGAAATTATATGTATTTGCTTATCTTAGACATTTAGGAAAACCATCTTTTGGATTAAAATATTATGTGATCTTGGCTTGCAAATCTATGTTAAGATTTTCTTTTGATTATACAATCTCAAGGAAATCCTTACTAGACCTCCTGCTCTAAGATCAGTAACTTTTATTGTAATCTTCTTGTGATGAGGAAGTTGGAAGGGTTTTAGACTTGCTTCTCACTTTCACAAAAATTATAACTTTGTGTGACTGTAGATATTTAATTTTTTTAACTTTTATTTTAGGTTCAGGGTTACATGTATAGGTCTGTTATGTAGGTAAACTCATGTCATCGGGGTTTGATAGCAGAAAAAATAACTACTGGGTACTAGACTTAGTACCTGGGTGATTAAATAATCTGATAGTAGATTTATATCAAAAGGTTATTGAAATCAACTGGGGAAGGTGTTTGGGACTGTGTTCTCATCTCTTGGTATATACTGTGTCAAGGAGAACCAAAATTTGTCAAGTTCATAATTTTTGTGATAATGTCTCCAGGACAAAACTGTCTCTGATTCTGGGTCCCCATGTTCCCTTAAATATTCTATCTAGCTCCTTCTTTAATGAATTTAAGAACTTTCATAAAGAGTTCACGTACTCCTAACTGCAGCCTTTTTGTTTTCAGGACATCTAGTCACCTACTTTAACAAACATAACTCAAATTTATTTACGTAAATATTTTATAGTTATTATTACCTGCCCTTGTTGAATATCTGTACTGTTGTAATATAAGAAGAAATATCTATTTGTTTTTTTCCTTCAGTTCTTGACATACGGCTCCTGAAACTTTTATAGATAGGGGTACTAAGAGAATCTTCTGTTCCAATATTTGGACTTTGACCTCAGTTCCTGACACAGATCTCCTAAATCCTTGGCAATTTCCTGGATGATAGGATCATCTTTTGTTCTAATGAAGCAACTCTTGGTGGGCTCACAGAGAGTCTCAAGACAGGAGCTGGTTGCCAAGGAAACCAACCATGCAATAAGAGGATTAGAATATTCAGCCCCACCCCATGACTTCCAGAGACAGAGGAAAGGCTGAAGGTTGAGTTGATTACCAGTAGCTCACGATATAATCATTCATGCCTACATAACACAGCTTTCATAAGAACCCAATAGGACAGGGTTCAAGGACCCTCTAAAGAATGCCACACCTATAGAGGCATGGAAACTCTTTGCCACTTTCATCTGACTATTGATCTATATCCTTTGTAATGCCTCTTATAAGAAATGGGCAGATGTAAGTAAAGCGTTTCTCTGAGCTCTATTAGCTGCTGTAGAAATTAACCAAAACGCAGGAGGCTGTCTTGGAAACCTCCCATTTATAGTTGGTCAGTCAAAAGTATAGGTGATAACCTAGTTCTCAAGATTGGTGTCTGAAGTTGGGTCAATCTTGTGGGACTGAGCCTTCAGTCTGTGAGATCTGATGCTGTCCCCAGGTTGGCAGTGTCAGAATTGAGTTAAATTACAAAACACTAGTTTGGTTTCCACTGGAGAATCTGGAATCAGAAATATTCTTTTGAATGTCCATGTAAAAGAGTAGAGAGAAAAAACGTATGCTTTTGTCTTTACAATATCCTATTGCAAATTTTTCTAACTTTTACAAACCACATATGTTTATATGATTGTTTGTATTTATATACAACATATTTATTATTCCTTTATTTGTACTTTCTAGGAACAAACTTTATTAAAAATTACTAATATTACTGTTTAATATTAAATGTTGTGATTTCTCACATATCATAAAGATATAAGGGACTATAAAGATGAACTGATTTTATCAATAGAAAACATTCATATGGTGTATAATATATCAAAAGAAAGTCTAAAGCTGGAAACACAGTAATTAGTCATTCAGTGTTATGTATTGAGAGGTACAGTTTAAAAACTTTATTGTAAAAACAAACAAATAAACAAAAAAGAAGCCTCTCATACTTTTAATATTTTCAAGGATAAAGATCAGTTGAATTACCCATATTTAAAATTTAAATATGAGAACTTAATGTACCAGTTGATAATTAAAGACAAAGCCACCTAATTTCTTACAATTTAGAAAGAAATTGTGGAGATTCCACAGTTGGAAAATGAAGAAAATATTCTGGGCTTTAGGGATGTGGACAAAGTTACAGATCTTTCAAATCATATGCTAAAAACTTAATAAAAATATATTTTTGCCAGCTGTTTGCAGATTTTGTAAATTACAGTAAATGAGTTTTAAAAGCCATGTGCCAGATGGAGAAAGGCTCATATTTCCTAAAGTGTTAATGAAATTTAGTTATAGCAAGAGAGACACAGGGAAAAAATAATATTAGTATGAGACTGATAATGATTTTGTCAAGCCACAGCTGTCACAATGAACTACTCATCTGTCCGTATTTGGGCATGCTTCCCATATTTGCTACCACATTTATCATATAATAAAATACTGAAACTGTTGGTTTTTGATGCAAGTCAAGTTTAGTGGAGGTCATTTATTTTATAGATAACAGTTCTAATATAATGTGATATTGTATAACTACAATAATTCTAAGAAAACATGAACGGTTTTATGGGTAATTTTAAAATTCACATTAATTATAAAGGGTCACCATTTGAAAATATTTCAGGAATTGATAAGAAAGAACATATACAAATAATTCTATTCATTTTGTGATTTCAATGTGTTTTTAAATGCATTAATGATAATTTGAGAAATCAAAGCTTTTACTACACAAAAGTAGAAAATTAGCCATCGATAATATTGATAAATCCTGCAGCTCAAATTACTTCTCATTTTAGTATTACAAAAAGTTGCCTTCACAAACACAGTATCTTTTTGTGTTAGAAATCAATAGGTAAAAATGTCTTCCTGAAACATGAAATAGTGTCCAGTAAAATATGGCACACTCTTAAATTTCATATATTGTATCAATCAAATAGAGAAAATAATTTTGCAACGGTGAGAATGTTGTAGGATGAGCAAGGAAGTTATCAAATCCTGACACATTTACCAGAATATATTGTTTAAATGTATGCGATATTTAAATGGGTATTCTTCCTTCTCTCAAATATTAAGGGAACGGATATTGTCCAAATTGGCTCCATATCTTCTTTTAGTTAGGCATGCTAAATGAGAGCTTTAGAATTATTTAAATCCACTGACATGCTTAATTTGAAACAATGTTGTTTGTTTGGGGGACATCCAGAAATTTCAGTTTTAAATAATGATATATTAGCTGCAGGTGTAACAGTACCTATGCATTTATTGCTTCACAGTCTAGCAGTGTTTGTGAGAAAAACTGATGGATCCTGCAGATTAACTATGGACAGCCAAATATTGAGTAAAGTGATGTCTACAACAGCATCAGCTATGCCTGATATGGTGTTAATTCACATTGTGAAGGTAAATTGGTATTTTGTGATGGAAAACCCAGGGCCAATTTTCATTAATGTGAGATGAAACAAAATACACATTTATTGTTCTCCTAGAAGGACATTTAAATTTGTGTATGTGTTGACACCACTCAGTAAGAAGAAACAATTTTGATTTAATTGAAAGCTATTGTTATTATGTTGATGATATAATGCTGATATATATTTTAACCTGAAGATTAAGCTAAAAATGAATGAAAAGTAATGGTTATTTATATAAATACCCAGGGAAGAGTTACATTACTGATTATATGGATTAATTTGAATGAAGTACAGGACAAATAGTAAAATTCATGTTTATTACTTGGGCCAGAGTAACTAAAGACATTCCTCAATCAACCAAAAATAAATTATTGTGCTTTTCCAGTTCCAAAATCAGAAGATGATACAGAAAGATTGCTCTGGTTGCCTGGTTTCTGAAGAAATCGTGTACCCTGTCTGGATAGTGTCTTACTTCCTATCCACAAAGTTGTGAAATAATCTGGAATTAAATGGCAACCTAAACAACCCTAGAGTTGCCTGAACACAGAGCCATTGCTGTGTTGATCATTATAGCAGGTAGATTTTAATTTGGCCCCTAATATTCTTCACCTCTTAGTATTTTCACTCTTATGCAATCTCTCTTATTTGAGTATAGGCTGGTTTAGTGACTTGCTCCTTATCAACAGAATACAGCAAAGGAGATGAGATGTCACTTTCTTAATTAGTTTATACAAAATATGAGTTCTGCCTTGCTATCTTGTTGGCTTCAATAAAGGGAAGAGCCATATATATGAGGTCCACATGGACAAGGAAATGAGAAATTCCCTGAACAACAGCTAGCAAAGAACTGAGACTCTCATTCTAACACCTCACAAGGAAATGAATCTTGCTAACAACCACATGAGCATAAAAGCAGATTCATTCTTAGTCTAGAGTTCAGTTGAGACCCCAGCCTTGGCTAATACCTGTATTACAGTCTTGTGATAGACAGAAACAGAGAAGCCAGCTAAGGCATACAGAGATTCCTGATCCACAGAAATTATGAGAAAACAAATGTGTGTTGTTTTAAGCACCTACATTTGGGAAAATTTGTTACATAGCAATAGATCAATAACATAAGACCACGTGTGACCCTTGTGCTTAAAAGATATTAGAAGTGTCAGCAATGACACTTATGCTGGATGGAGCCTTTGGCAAAGGCCTGCAAGTACCACCTGGTGGTAGTCACTAGAAAATAATCTGAGGCTGCCTTCATGTCTACTCTCCTTGAAAGGCAAATGATGGCCTTTTATTGGGGTTTAATGGAAACTGAAACATTCATATTAGGATTTATATAAGAACAATATTCCAATACAAAGAAAAAGGCACAGAGAAACCCCCTCATCAAATGAAAATGGTTTATTTAAGAATATGCATCAGAACTGACCACAGGCAGTATTGATCATATCTATGAACAGGTAGCTCATAAGTCTTTAGGTCCTGTGTTAAAATTTTAGATGTTGACTAACCCCATAATTTTAAAAAGCTTAGAAGTTCTCTTGTATAATCAGTTATTAGAGGACTTCCTAACAGGCAGCATTGCTCAGGATGGAGATTCCACATTCAGTCCGGAAGGCATCTATATTGTGTCCTGTGATCGCTGCATTTTACTGACGAAGAAAAATATGTATCTTCTAAATGAGCAGAATTATGAGGGTGTTTCCATTGCCTTAGAAAAAATACACAATAACAATAATAGCAAGGTTAAGGGTTTATACAGTTTCTTAGGTAGTAACTGAGAGACTGACAATATGGTAAGGAAATGAGCCTTGGATGACTGGAGGATAAAAGAAACCCTACTGTGATGGTTAAGTTGAGGTGTCAACCTTGCTGGACTAAGGGGTACATAAATAGCTAGTAAAGCATTGTTTCTGGGTATATCTGTGGGAGTTTCCAGAACAGACTGCCATTTGAAATCAGTGGACTGAGTAAGGAAGATTCACCCTCAATGTGGGAGGCAGCATCCAATCAGCTGAAGACCAAGTAAAATAAAAAGGTAGGAGAAAGGCGAATTCAGTCTCACCTGAATTTGGGACATACTTCTGCCCTTGGACATCGAATCCTCAGGCTCTCTGGCTTTTGGACTCTGGGACTTGCACCCACAGCCCCCTGGGATCTCAGGCCTCTGGCCTCCAACTGAAAGTTATACCATCAGCTTGCCTGCTTCTGAGGCTTTTGGATTTGGACTGAACCAACCTACTAATATCCCTGGATCTGCAAATTCAGACAGCGTATCATAAGACTTCTCAGCTTCCATAATCCCATAAGCCAATTTTCCTAATAAATTCCCTTTCTTCTATCTATCTATGCATCTATCTATGTTATCTATCTATCTATCTATCTATCTATCTATCTATCTATCTATCTATCATCTATCTATCATTTATCTGTCTTACTGGTTTTTTTTTCTTTTTTTTATTATACTTTAAGTTTTAGGGTTCATATGCACAACGTGCAGGTTAGTTACATATGTATACATGTGCCATGTTGGTGTGCTGCACCCAGTAACTCGTCACTTAACCATTAGGTATATCTCCTAGTGCTATCCCTCCCCCCTACCCCCACCCCAAAACAGGCCCCAGTGCGTGATGTTCCCCTTCCTGTGTCCATGTGTTCTCATTGTTCTATTCCCACCTATGAGTGAGAACATTCGGTGTTTGGTTTTTATCTCTCTGCAGAACACTGACTAATACTCATACTTTGGGCAATGTGTTAAGAAGAGGAAATTTCAAAGTAGACTTATCAGTATCAATGAAAACAAAACACTTACAAATTCAGTGGCAGCCAGAAACAAACAAGGGGATGCCCCTTGTTCACTAAGTGGAAGTGGCCACTTGGCTAAATGAGATACACGGTTATGGAGGAATTCAAACAATGCAAAAGAGAGAAAAAGAGGAATCTCTTTGTTGGCCTCACTATCAAGCATGCACTTTTTCTTGCTGCCGTCTGTGGAACAATTGCTGAACTATTGAAAACTGCACACCAAGGGTAAAAGCTGGAGCTTAATTCCCCCTAAATATATCTACCCTCTTCTTTTTTAAAAATGTATTTCAATTAAAATTAGTGTTCTCTCCGTTTTAACAGGCATACTTTTGGATTTTTAATTTGTAATTTAAATAACCCTGCATAGTTTAGATGAGAAAAGTGTGTGAGAAGTCCTACTGATATCACTTTTCCTACTACTACTATTACCATTAGCTTAATTAAATATTTGCTGAGTCCGGTTTTATTTAATCATTTTCTTGAAATTTTTTTAGTAAAATTTAACAATTTTTCTTAGCGAATATTATTAATATCCTCATGGCAAGTGAATTACTTTCCTGAGGCACACAGTTGGTAAGTGAATAATGAATAAATATTTTAACCCAGGCAGGCTCCCTTCAGAAAAGACATTCCAAAGCACTTTGTTACACTGGATTTAACAATATCTTAACATAATTCCTCAGCAGGTGGATCATAGATAATGAAATGTACACTAATGTAAGCTGTTCAAGTATATGAGCTATGATTTTACTTCTGATTTGTTCTGTAGGCAAATGTAGAAATCATTCTCTTTAGAATTTCCTGGCCTCTGTGGTCATTCCTGAGTACATCCCCTCTCCCCTCAGACACACACAGTCTTCACTAATGATTAAGAATACATTTTCTGATTAAGAATACATTTTCTGTTTCTGATACCTGCTGTGGTATTGAACTCTGGGAGAAAATACTCTATTTTCTTATTTTTTTTCCATATACTGGAATGTACCCAAAAATATTTCCACAGAACAATTCTACCATTATCAGCAGGTAGTGACCAGTCAACTTTTCTGTGATGTTTGAATGGCTTATTATGAGAGTGAGAGCATTGATTTTGTTTCTCAGTTTTTATAATAGAATGTGACCTGCACTACAGAAATCATTTTTAACTCATTTCTGGGTATGATTGAGCAGTTGTGTGATAAAGAATTTGGCCTTTGTCCCCAGTTTCTGGGAGGTAACCTCTAAATACTGGGAATCTCTTCAGTGATAGAAGTGTCTTTGTTATTCATGGTGGACTCTTTAGACCACATCTGATGGTTTATGTAGAGGTGATTCAGGGTGTACCTTTAGATAATTTGTGCTAAAGACGTGATTTAAGATGGGGACTGGTCATGCCAGAAAGATCAACCTTGTAAAGCTTAGAGCTTTGAGCCACATTATATCAGCCAGACATCTGGAGAGGGGAAGGAAGCTGGAGGATGCGCTCAATAGCATGCACAGTGATTTAGTCTATCATTCTTAGGTAATGAAAATTCAATAAAAACTCTAGACATGGAAGCTTGAGTGAACTTCCTTGGTTGACAGTGCCGTATATTGTCATACATCGTGGTTCTAAGAGGGTAATGTGTACTGACTCCGCAGGGAGGAAACAATGAAACGCCTGTAGTTACAATCTTCCCAGAATTTGCCCTACATGTCTCTTCCCTTGGCTGATTTTGATCTGTATGATTTTGCTATAATAATAAAACTGTAATCATAACTCTTTCTGAGTTCTGTGAATTGTTGTAGCAAATTATCAAACCTGAGCAGGTAGTGAGAGCCCCAGAATTTATAGCCAGCTGATCAGAATTGAGGGTGGCCTTGGAGCATGTAGCTGGTGTCTGCAGTGAGGGTGCTCTTGTGGAGAACCACTTCTTCCTTAGGTGTGGACACGTGAAGTTACGTGGATGTCTGTTTTCCTCAAATCCGTATATGGTTTGGTTTGACTGTCACTCTGAATAGAGTCAGGTGTACCCCAAGGAAGAGGCCCTGGGGTTGGCAAAATACCTCTTTATGAATATTCATGTGCCTTGGCACTTCAAAAGGCTTGAAAAAAAAAGTGCTTCAGTGTTTGCAGGATGCTAGAATCACTTGCTGTAAAAATATTTACAGCTGTGCTTCAGTTTCCAGGTCTTTGAAAAGATGTTTCAGTAGTGTGGGTGCTGAGTAGCTTGTGTAAAATTTTTATTGTGAGCACCACCTTTTCTGGGCACTGACTCCATTTACAAGTGTATCATTCCCCACTGTGAGCCAAGTTTACAGCCAAACCAAGGCAGAAAAACACCCTGGAATTCACATGCAGTTTTCATCCACAGATCCCAACTCAGGAGTCTGCCTGAACTACAATCCCCAGAATCACCCACTCCTTACCTGACCTCTAGAACTACTTACTGTTCCTCCACTTGCAGGCATCTCAGTGTCATTAACACTCATCCCCTTGCCTTTTGCGTTCCACTTGACACTGACCTCCTCCATCAGCAGAATGAGATCTGTCATTTGGGATACACATTCTGTCCATTATGCGTAAATGTAATTTAGGTCCTTGCTGCCCAGGTTGAGTCTTAAGTCTTTCATGCAGTGAATGCACAGAAAATAGAATAAGCTGAAACTTGTTTGCTCCATTCTAAACAAAAATGTTTATGAGAAAAATAGTAAAGTGGTTTCACCAGTTTTCCTCAAGTAACAGTAATAATTTAAAAGTATTAAATATTACCAACTTCTGTTAGTGAATAAATTACAGTAACACCTTAAAACATAAGGTATACATAGTAGTCTAAGATTTAAAGGTATTAAACTTTTTTTTTGAGTTTAAACAGTATATAATCTCAGGACCTAACCTTGTTGTCTATAGTCATGTTTTTAATTATTTAAAAAATGTATCAGGTAAGTTACGTAAGGTTAAGTTGTATGAGGTTTAACTTTAAGTGATCACTTTTACTTTCAGTAAAATTTCATAAATATATTAATCAGAAAGGAAAGTAAAACTTAGAAGTATGCTAATTGTCTTGTGCTTTGCGAAATAGATGGAATGAGACCACTTAGAATAGAATGAGGCTTTGTTCTTAATTGCTGTCAGGTGAATGATGTTACAATTTTGCACATAAAACAGAAATAACTTCACAGATTTCAAAGAAAAAAATATATTCTAAGGTTCAGAAAAATAAGGAGTTGGTTGTCTTTCCTCTGTTCCCAATATAGAGAAATAACAGCCATTGATGCAATGAAATTTTGCTGATGCAGTTCTCCTGCAAGTCAAGAAGCATAAATGATTCAAGGAGTTCCAGAATATGAAATTCATTTATTCTTCCAAAATTATTTTATATATTTCTATTACCTAGAACTTTTTTTGGATTTGAAATAATAGAAAATGAATGATGTCAGATTAAGCACAATGGATACAGGGTCTCCTCCCAAGCTAGAGGCAGAAGAATTAGTGTGCAGGAAGGCCTCAAGCATGCCTGAGAAGCTGGTCTTTAACGTATCTCCTTCTCTTATTTTGCTGGTCACCTGCTCCATTATTCTTCCTCCGGATGGGCAACTGAATTTATACGGCAAAAGAGCCTATTCAGATTTCATGAGTTTACAAGTTAAACATCCAAAGGACGTGGGAAAAGTGATTCTAACATCAGTTGAAAATTCTGTGGGAAGAAGTTCTGACTGTTGCAATTTAGAATAGGTACCCACTCCTTGTCCAGTTAGGTGCAACTGTAGGATTGAGTAGAATCTCTCTGCAAATAAAATGGTCTGACCCTACCACTATACAAATGTTAGAAGCTGAACTCATACTCACTCTTTGAGGGAACTTCTGATAATTATGCCTGAGTATTGTATTATTATATGTATATAATTAGTAAATAAGTAACTATTATTTCATTGTAAGTAGAGTCAAGTGATTAATTAAATTTTCACTTTTCATATTTTAGCTATGTTGCCTCCAACCATCAATAAGTGATAACAAACAAAGGGGATTTGCAGTTAATTTTGTATAATCGTAGATTCCTATGGGGAAGCCAGAGTTCTTGCATGTTCTTTCTGTAATATGATTTCATTGAACCCTTTCTTCCTTGTAGCTCATTCTCTTCACATAATTTCAATCTGTGTCATCAGCTTATTTTCTTTCTCTTAGGATTAAAAATTATTTTAATAATAGGCTCCCAATTCCTCACAGCAACACAAATAAAATAAAGAGAAAAGAGGAGGTGAAGCAATCCCTAATGAAACAAAACATATATTTATGTTTACCTTTTCAGCACAATGTGTTGACAGGCTGGATGAATTAAAGTGTGCATTGGGGGAGGGGAAAGCTGCATTTTAGGCATTTTTCTAGATATTAACATTTAACATTTAGTTTCACTTCATTCTTTAAATATGTATAATTCCCATGCATATAAATACATTGGATTTCATTTCATAGGTTTTCATTAGGAGGCCAATTTGTAAATGTAACCAATAAGCATTCAAATGATTGCTGAGACACTGAATTTTTTTAATTACTCATGTATGTTGAGGAATTCTGATTTTTTTCTGTAGTTAGAATAGCTCTCCACAATACTAACTAACTAACTAAATAAATAAATAAAACAACCATTCAGTGGCTTAACAAAACAAATTTATTTCTCATCCATTTAGCTGATATATGTAAGCATTCCTATCTAACGTGGGATTGTTTGCTTTCTATGCTGATTCAGGAACCAAGTTGCTTCCAGAGTAAAGTTCTCCAATCCACTCGATATTTATAATTCTCTGCCCTCAGTCCTCAATAGGAAAAAGATGCCTCCCTGGTCGACCTTCCTGGAAAGTATGCATATCATTACTGCTTAGATTTTGTTGGAGAGAAATCACACTACCATCAAAGACAACGGGTCAAAAAGAATGCCGTCCTAAGCTGAGAAGCCATCTTCCTAACGACAGCCATGTAATATGAAAGGGAAAAACACACTGTTATTGAAGAACTTATCAGCTATGTCACATCTTCCACACAAATACTCAGGAAAGTTAAAAGAAAATTTTACCTCGGACACAGTTGATGTACCTCAGTCTTGTACAAAACTTAGAACTCACTAAGTCTGAAATAAGACTTTAAACTCTCTCTGAGGTGAAGTTGTAATACAGTGAGAATGATAATATATAGTATATTAGGATTTACTTACTCCTGTGTTGTTCTGGACTATAGACTGCCACACATATCAGATGCACATGACTGACATGTATATCTTCATTTTGCTATTATTTGTGGTGAACTAATACAGGATTTACTGTAAAAGTATAATAATGCAGTAGCAATATACTAATAAATCAATGCAGTTAATATACAAGTGCTGCTTATAAGTTACTGTGTATTCATCAAAGCCACAGAATTTGCAAATGAAATAATCTATTACATAGTCTACAGCTTGTGAAACTAAAATTGTTTAAATTTAAGTGCAAATTCATTAAAACTTCACTTAAACAAGCACTATTTCATATATAATAACATAGAGATCTTCTTTGCTCAATTCTATATGAACACATTTCTACTCTGACTTTATAATTTTAATGTTCTGATGTTTTTATATTTATATTTTTATATATTTGTTCTTATATCTTGCCTTGTTATTACTATGTTTACTATTGTTGAATTTACTAAATCTTTGACTGGGCTTATTTCAGTAGAAATACTTTTAGTTAATTGCAACCCACTAAGATTTTGGCTTCCAAACTACAGTATTGAAAATGGTAAATAGACTGCTAGGGAGTGACATAGTAAAAACTCATTAAAAACGCTAATTAGCAAGCTGAATCGTTCTGACATACCCACTTTACTAATCCACTAGCTAAATACACCATAAAAATGAGTCTGTATTGCAAGTGAGCAAATATCCAAAGGAAGGCCTTTTTGAGTTTCCAGATTACTTTCAATTAACTGAATGCTGAATAGTCTAGAGTATGATATGCTGTGTTATCAGAATTTTAATAGAAGTCCCTAAATGAGCCTTAGAGTCTAATCATACTATTTCCTTAACTTATTTAGAGGATTCTTGATGAATCCTATGTTCTCTCTCACTCTTCCCCTTCCCCTCTTCAACCACTTAACCATTTTTACAGATTTTGGTACATTTATAATAACATTTTTCACATTTCATCTTTCATTATATTTATATACAAATATTATCAGTTCTACTAGATAGAAAGCTCTGTGAAGTCAAGGATTAAATTCTGTCTTCTTAGTTACCTATTAATGCCCTGTTTAGTTTGAATTTGTATAGATACAGTACTATAGTATCTATACTGTGAGTGTTGAGTTTGTATAGATATTGTACTAGGACTTGGAAAAGTAGTTCTGGAAGTTGGAGATGGTATCTGATTAACAGTCAAGTTAAACACAACTCTTTCCTTTTATTTTCATTACTTCTGTATGTATGAATGTGTGTGTGTGTGTCTGTGTAATTATATTCTTTTAAAATACAATAAATAGATTTCTTTATATTCAGTTAAAAACATGGACACAAAGTGGGGATTACGTGTTCCTTAAAGTCTAGTTTTAATAAGCCTCAAGGACTCACTGATCGTCATTTCTTTTTATGTGTGATGCTTTAAATTACCAATGCATATTTTAAAGACTGATTTTGGATACTTTCTAATTCCTCCTTAAATGGAAATTCCAATTTTTTATTTTTTCAGAGACATGAAATTCTCTTAGGTTTTCACCACATTAACACAGTTTCAAGGAGTTCTCTACTGAATATTCTGACCTGTACTCTGCACTTTAATGATCCTTGTATACACATTTGCTTACATAAGTTTCTTATTTCCAACTTTGTTGATTTGTCACTTCTGCCTTCCCTTTAATTTCTTGATTAGTTAGAACTTATAAGAAGTTTTTCTACGTTGTTGGTTTTTCCTCCCAAAACTTCAGTTTCAGCTTGCTTGTTTATTCTTCCCTCTCTCACTACCTCTCTCTCTTCTCCTCTGCTTCATATTCCTATATATTTATTTTTCTTTACATTTTCTTTTAGTTTATGTTGTCATTTGACTAATAATTTTTATATACTTATTTCTAAATAAATACCTTAAAGCCTAGGACATTGTACTGAATATGTTTTTGTTTGCTACATGCCGCAGTTCTGATTTCGGATTACTGCATTTGGAGTCTAAATATCTTATAGTTCTAATTTGTTAGAGGGCTAACATTTCTTCTGTATTTAAAGTTCCACTGGAAATATCTTTCATGATAAGAAAAATTCATAAAATTTTCTCTTCACTTTCCCTATTCATCTCTCCCTTGGAGGCTGAGTGTGTTCACTGATTGCTCTCCGATATCTACTTGTCCAGTATTCCTGATAGTAATGTATTAATCTCTAAGAAGCCTGAAGGCTTGTCGCGGTGGCTCACGCCTGTAATCCCAGCACTTTGGGAGGCCAAGGTGGGTGGATCACGAGGTCAGGAGATCGAGACCATCCTGGCCAACATGGTGAAACCCCATCTCTACTAACAACACAAAAATTAGCTGGGCGTGGTGGCACGTGCCTGTAATCCCAGCTACTTGGGAGGCTGAGGCAGGAGAATTGCTTGAACCAGGGAATCGGAGGTTGTGGTGAGCCGAGATCACGCCACTGCACTCCAGCCTGTTGACAAGAGCAAGACTCTGTCTCAAAAAACAAAAAAAGAAGCCTGAAAGTACCAGAGATTCTCCTTGTTTTGTTGACTCTTTCCTAAATTGATATGAAGCAATAATCCTAGTTGGTAAGAATGTGCTACTCTCCTCAATATTTTCCAGGTTGAGAATCTCATTGTTTAGGCTAGAAAGATGGCAATTCATAGATCATTAGTCTTTTGACTATAAATGTAAATCCATATTATATAAATGCATTTGTCAGTATTAAAGCATGCATCATAGTTTTAATGATCTGTCCCCCAATTTATTTTTTAATTTGCTTGTATTCTAGCAGGTGTCTTAGAAGGCTCCTGCTGCTATAACAAAATACCTGAGCAATTTATCAACAACAGAAATCCATTTTCTCAAAGTTGTAGAGATTGGGAAGTAAAAATTCAAAGTGCTGGCAGATTCAGTGTCTGGTGAAGTTTTGATCTTTGCTTCCAAGATGGAACTTGGTTGTTGTGCTCTCAGATGTCGAAAAGTGGAAGGGGCGAAAGGGTCTGGCCTGTTCCCTCGAGCCCTGATAATAATCACCACCTAAAAGCTCCAAGTCTTAATACTGTTACGTTGAGTCTGAGACTCCAACATATGAATTGTGAGCAGACACATACATTCAAACCATAGCAGGAGGGGAAAAAGTATATAACAGAATAGTACCTTAAAATTTTAACTTTTTAGTGAATTGGTCTGAAACCTCGAAGAAGAAAAATAAACAACGGACATGGAGCAATCTAAAGTCGTCCAAGTGGGTGGCTTCAAATTTTAATTTTAGTAAATACAGTCCAGGCAAGGTTTTGACAGCAGCAGTTCACTGAAGATTACTCTCGTTTTATCTCAATCATAGAGTTTATTTAGTAGGGAGAAGACTGATGTTTAATAGGTCACTGGCAAGCCTGGTAACTAAAACTATGATATCCTTTGCAACTGACCATTATCATTTATATAAGTTTATTTTTATTAAGCTGGCATGGCAGAAGCAAGGATATATAGAGAAGAAAAGAGTCTTTTAGAATACTGGTATTTTATATATTGAGGACTAGAAGTATGCATTGAAAATTTAGCCTAATTGTTTAAGAAGGTCTGAAGACTTAAATTTACTCTGAAAAGAACTAAGTTCCAAATGGACTGCAGGACACGCTGTGTGCACTTTTTCCTGTGCAGTATTTAATGACATGCCTTAAACTTCCTTCCACTGAGTTTTGTTCTGTTTTCAGATCATGAGGGAAATTGTAGAAGGTTGTATCACTACTATTTATGTAAACTACCCCTTGACATAATTGCCCATTGGAACCTAATTAAAAGAAGTCCCAACATTGTTACACTATGCTAATTACAGAATCTCTGTGTTCAACCACCCATTGTTCTGACCACCTTTCTCTGACTCTCACCCAACTCAAGTCCTTTAATCTTGTTTACTCTGCCTAAATTCATGTTTTATCATAATAATTAATCTGCAGACATGCTCAATTCCTTTCCTCTTCCTTGCTGTTTATCTGCTTACCAGGAGCAAAACCCTACTTAAATACAATTCTTTACATTTTCATGCAACTGAAGAAACTGGAAAAAAAAATGCTTTTCTGACTGCTCTCATGAAATTCTTGACCATGTACCTCAGGTAGGATTTTACTGAACAAAAATCATACAGCATTATTCAATTCTAAATAACCATTTCATATTTTTTCTTATCTTCTCAAATATCTAATACATTCTCCAATTGTACTATTTACTGTTGCACTGGACACTTTAAAGCAATCAGAAGAAAATTTCCACAATGAATTTTTGTGTGGTCACTGTGAATACTAAAATATACCTCTTTAAGGTTTCACAATCTATCGTCAAACACAGTCTAATGCTTAACCAATCTATCTTCAAACATATTCTAATGCTTAACCAACAGATAAAAGTGTTACAAGGGAAAACCTTTAATACATTTTCTCTTTTCTGGCATAACTTCTAAAGTCATTTATTTGATTTCTGTATATATAATATAAATCCCAGATCACATCAAAAATTATTCTTAAAATATCTTTTATTTTGCATATATGTCATCATTACTCTTTTCCCCCAGTTTTTGTAATAGCCTGTTTCTATCAGATACCATTTCTCTGGTTTAAAAGAAAAAATATTAAAAAGCATGTTTTTATATTTTATTTCCTCTACAGCAGATCTGTTCAAGAAAAATTTTTCAGCTTGCCTAAAAATGTATTTGTTTTGACTTTGTTTATGAAAGACACTTTCACTAAAATTCTAGGCTGACTGTTTTTTTTCATAATTGTTATTATATCATGTCATTGTTTTCTGAGCTCTATTGTTCATTTGCTGCAGTGCAGAGATCTGTTATTTTCATTGCATTTCTCCTTATACTGTTTTATTTTCTTCATCTAATGGCTTTTAAATGTTATATATTTTTTTCAATTTGAATAGAGTGTGCATAGGTGTGCTTTTTTCTGCACATATTCTGGTTGGAATGTGCTGAACTCTTTGAATATCTGGGTTGATATCACTAACCAATTAAAAATACTATAAAACATCATTTCTCAAATATTTTTAACATCAATTCATTATATTTTATATTTTATCTGGGGCTCCAATAATATGTATATTAGACTGTGTGATATTGTCTCACAAATTTCAGATTATTCATCATTTTCTTCTTTATATATTCTCTTTTTCCCTTTTGTAATTCAAACTGTGTATTTTCTACCTGTTTTCAACATTATTTATTATTATCTCTGCTAATGAGTCAACAAACAATGTATCTATAATATAACACTTTTAGTTTTTTGGGTTTTTTTTTCTTTTTTTTTTTTTTGAGACCGAGTCTCTTTCTGTCTCCCAGTCTCCCTCTGTCACCCAGTGGTGCAATCTGGGCTCACTGCAACCTCCGCCTCCTGGGTTCAAGTAACTCTCCTGCTTCAGCCGCCTGAGTAGCTGGGACTATAGGCACATGCCACCACATCCGGCTAATTTTTTGTATTTTTTGTACAGACAGGGTTTCACCTTGTTAGCCAGGATGCTCTTGATCTCCTGACCTCGTGATGTAGCCGCCTCAGCCTCCCAAAGTGCTGGGATTACAGGCATGAGCCACCACACCCAGCCAACACTTTTAGTTTTGATAATTTTCATTTTGCTTTTATTAATTTTTAAATTTCACTTTTTCCCCTGTATGTAATGAATATTAATTCCCTTTATTGACTAGGTTTCTTAATGTATTTATCTTGTCTATCTGTAGTAATTCTAGAATTTGTTATCTCTCACTCTTGTTCTATTGACAGTTTCCTTTCTTGATGATATACCGTATAGTGCCTTGTTCCTTTGTGCTTTGTAATCTTTTGCTTAATTGGATGCCAGACATTTTGATCATATAGTCTTACAAATGAAAGTAGGTTACATTTGTCCACAGAAAATTGTAGGCTTTCTCTTCTGTCAAGTTGAATACTTTTGAGGTAATCAAGTCTGCGTTGAAACAGTTTCGTTTATTATTATTTTGCTTTTGTGGGGTTCAATTAATTGCATACTTCAGGTTTTTTTGTGTTCAGGACCAGAAGCTTCTGTTTTTCAAAAAGTCATATTTCAATTAGCTCTTTCGGCTTTTAGCCTTCAGCTAGCCTGAGGCAACTGCAACCCTGGAGAGATCTCTGCCAACTTTCTTGCCCCTCATCCAGATGCAGGTATCCAGTGTTTAATACTCACTGTAAGACTAGGAGAGACTTTTTCACAGTCATTAGTGAGCCACAGACTCTGTCAACTCTCCTGTGTGTATTGAGCACAGACTTATCCACTATTTCCCCAACTGTAAAGGGTGGCTGCCTTGGACACAGTTAAAGCCTGAGGTGCTTATAGTGTTCATCTCTGTTTTCCAAACTTGCCCTAATATTTCTGCAGGCCTGATACATCTATACCACACAGGGTAGTATCTCCAGGTGTTTTGCTCTGCCTACAATCTGTCTGTGAATATATCCTGTCTTTAAATCTATGCCTGTAGAGAGTGCTCCTTCTTATGCTAGCCATCATTTTGCCTTTAAAAGAGTCATAAAAAGAATTCTCATTTTCTGTCTTCTTACCCAGGTCTGTTCTTTTTACATCTATTGCTCTATAAGGATAAAAGCAACTATGAGCCTCTTTGTGGGCAAGAGGTATTTATCAAATTGTACTTTAGTTCATTGGGTATTTTTGTGACATGAGTTCTTATATGCTTTTAAAAATTTGTTGGTTTTCTACTTATTATTGTCAGAGAGGATTCATAATTATCTTCCACATGATAGGTAGAAGCAGCTTTTCTCTTTGCTTAAATTGCAATAAAATCCTTGGAATTATGTTGGAATGCACTAATTTGTGTCTACTTGACGTTTCAAATCCTTAATAGTATGTATTATTTAGATCTTATCCAAGATTTCTAATTTGTAAAATTTTTAAAATACTTAGAACT
The DNA here is from genome assembly GCF_000001405.40 of Homo sapiens. Lineage (NCBI taxonomy): Eukaryota > Metazoa > Chordata > Mammalia > Primates > Hominidae > Homo > Homo sapiens. The sequence goes on from NW_003571036.1 coordinate 133,154, forward strand.
GACTCGTAATAGCTGTACCTATTTTTGTTTCATATTTTTTGTCTATATATTTTAAAATAAAGATCTTAATTTTATTCCTGTAAATATCTTGAATATTCTTAGTATATTTCATGTTGTTAAGTAACATTTTTTTCTGTTGTGAATTTGTATTTTAATTATAAAATGTATTGGTTATCTTTCTTAGGTTTATCACCTAATTTTAGATTTTTTTTGTTATTTTGGACTTCTCTCTCTTTTGCATACTCTTGCGCGCTCTCTCTCTCATCCCTGCTTTTCCCTCCTTTCTCCCTATGATTCTCTCTCTTAAATTTGACCTGTGAGGCTTGATCCAGGTTCTCATCCAGGTATGGAATGGGTTTAGTCCATGTTTTGCTGCAGGAGTCAAATTTTTGCCATCTGCCTATGGAACTAAAACTCCTTTAGACAATAGGATAAGTATGTTCGCTTATTTTTTTATTGTTGCTCTCTTTTCATGTTGATTTATTGGTGGTGGTTTTAATTTTAGTTGTAGATGTGTATTCATTTTATAAGCCCAGTTTTGTAACTTTTGTTTTGCCTACTGTCCATTGATGTATTTGCAGCAAATGTGATTGTTGATGTGTAAATTCACTATACCACCTTGGCTGTACAAACCACCCCTCTATTTTTAACTATTTTTTTTTCAAGAAGCTCAACACAGATTTCCTAGCACAATTTGTTATCAATAGTGTTAAAAATACATATATATGATAATCATAGAGCCCAAACCTAATGCTATAATGTTGTAGAAAGGCCAAGGCTCATGGAAAAGCAGAGTAAATGAATGCTGATTACACAATGTGTTTGCTCTTCTCTTTGCCTTTCTCTTCACTGTGGCAGTAAGCAAGAGAATGTGAAAAAAAAATACTAGTTAAACTCTTTGACTTCTATTAGCCTTTTTGCCTTCATGCTACTACTTAGTGTCTCCTGGATAATTTAGAAAACTTCTGCTTAATAACTATAGTGAAATTGGCTTTATAATTTCCTGAGGCTTCCATTAGGTGGAGGCAGCAATTTAGAAACTCTCATGGATAACATAAAACAGCTAAGTGCTGGTGCAAGACATTAAAACACAAAAGGCTTAAGCTGAAAAAAAGGGCTTTAAACTAAAGCTTATAAAATATTGGTGGGCTTTTCAAGTTTATATTCAAATAGTTAATGGCAGGGACTGTCTTCTCACTTTCATCAAATTTTATTTCAAATTTCCCTTAATGTGTAGTTCTTCAGTAGCCTGAAATTCAAGCCAAAAGCCCTTTACTATTTGAGTACAATTTCCTAATCTTTGTAATTTAACTGTTTGAATAATTTTATATGTCCTTTAGACTCCAAAAAGAGATTGCAAGCCACAGGACATGCTTTGTTTTAAACCAGCAGCTTAGTCTTTCTGGCTCTCTGAGACACGATGGGCACTGATATTGCAAGCTGGCTTAATGAATGAAGCCTTTGAATGAATGTCCAGAAGAAGCTAGGAAGTTTTTGTTAAAGTATCTGCTTTTGCTTTTTGAATCCCATTTGCTGCTGTTTTGGCTGTTTAATATTTCTGAGATCTGTGTAACAATGATCCTGACTTTCTTGAACCAGTAAAAGAAATTCATTTCTTATAATGAGAATATTTGTTTCTACCTAGGATTGCTAAAGTCCTATTGCATGCTTTAAGATGCCTTGCGTTTGGTGAATTGAAGCCTGATATGTCAACATACTCTCTGTAAACACAGCAGCACAGAGGGCAAAGAAACACTTATCCAGCACCACAGCTAGGACAAAAGGAATTATTTTGACAGTAAATGGACTTGCAGCTTAAGTTAAGTGCATTAATATTGGGATGGTATTAACTATACAAAATTGTTTCTAAGCAAAGGTGACCAGATGTCCTAATTTGACTGATTGATTTGTTTGCTTAGTTAAATACCCTTGTAATTTGATTGTTTATAGATGTTTGCCTACTCTTATTTTTATCAATCTGCTAAGTGCTATGCATAGAAAAGTATATATTTGAAATTAACTATTTTTCATTACAATATTCTAGCTTATGTGCTTATTTTTCATAAACTATTTATCTAGTAATCACCATGAAATCAAATGGTTATTTGTAGTGGGATGGTTCTAAAAATATTAATGTGATATTTTATTTCTGATAGTATTTAATAAGACAAGTCCTAAATTTAAAACCATGTATTTCTTTATAGACAAATCTTTCTCTTTACTCACCAACTCTTTCTACTCTTTTGTGGTAGAACTTTTTGTCACCATTTTATTAGCTCAGATTGTGAGCAAAGACACATTAAAATGGATAGAGAAGTTGATGTCACAATTGCTAAACTGATTAAAATAACTGAATAATGATTTTAATTTACTCATTTTGGTTAAACCAAAAATACTTGTCTCTACCATCAAAAAAATGCAAAAGTCCATGTTTTGGAGCATGTTAATGAAATATATAATTTTTAAAATAAACAACATCAACAGTTGTCAAAAATTAAAGCGATAAAAATATAGATTTCATCTCTTGGCAGGGTAAAGTCTTCATGTTAGTTGAATAGTAAATGTTACTCTTTCAAATTAAGATGTCTCTACCAAATGGGGCATTTAATAAGGACTGACAATTTGGATCCAAATTTATTGTTCTGTGACCATATTAAATTGAGAAATACAGAAGTGTACACATATTAAAAATGTACACTACATGATTCCCAATTTAAGAAAAACTAAAGACAAACTATAAAATACATAGATCAACCACATGTTTTATTCATATTACTTAGCATACTTCAAATGAAGTTTCAAAACTCTACATTGTTTGTGTCATGTTAATAAACCATACTATCTTGAATAATCATGAAATAAAATTAATTGAAATAATTCAACTAGTATGATAAGTGTGTATTTAATTAAGTCAATTGCAAGCATAATAAAGAAAAACAATAAAAAATCACAATTTTTATTCAGTTAGAGGTTGTAGTATTTGTCCCCAAAGGAAAATTAATCTATTCATAGTTGCCTTAATATTGGGGATAGTATTCTCAAACATTTTTAGGTGTACAAACTATGCCTTTTTGTTTATCTAATTTAAAGTTATCAAATTTACAGCAAATGTACTTTGGAATATAAACTCTCCTTCAATAATACAATCCAAAAAACAAAGACTTATTTCTGAAATATACTATTAGAAATAAGGCATATTGGCAGGGCACGGTGGCTCACGCCTTAATCCCAGCACTTTGGGAGGCCAAGGCCGGCAGATCACAAGGTCAGGAGATTGAGACCATCCTGAGTAACACGGTGAAACCCCGTCTGTACAAAAAATACAAAAAATTAGCTGGGTGTGGTGGCATGCGCCTATAGTCCCAGCTACTCGGGAGGCTGAAGCAAGACAATCACTTGAACCTGGTAGGCGAAGGTTGGAGTGAGCCGAGATCGCGCCCCTGCACTCCAGCCTGGGAGAGACAGAGAGAGACTTCCAGTCTTAAAAAAAAAAAAAAGTCGTATTTAAAAAACAAGGAGTAACTGAAAAAGTAACTATATAACTAATATATTACTCTCTGAACTATGTAACAAAAATATTTCTCTACAAAATACTATTATTCCTATAATCCATTTATTTCTATATACCATGTTTGTGTCACTATAGGTTGGTATGTACCCAATTGTGACTAAACCAAAAGAAACAAATCTGGAAACTGAAGTATCAATACGTGAAAAGCGTTCTTTTGGTATTGGGAGTGCCAGGTACTTTTGCCATTGTATTTTACTTAGTAGTAATAGCTGGCTTTTTCTATTGAGCACGTGCTACTACAGAAATTTAAAGGGGTTATTTCTAATTTGGGAGAAAAATAGAACAAACAGCTTTTAATCTTATAAATAATCTGCTCATTGAAATGTCTTATTTAATCCAGATCTGTGCAAAATGAACTTAAAACTAATTTTTAAAGCAGTTGGAAAGCATCATTTAACAAAAGAGGTATCTGTCATAAATTTAGGTCTATTTGTGCACATTTTCTAAATTTTAAAATATAAATCAAATCTTTACAAATTAAATCATGTTTCGTTCTTGATTTATGTTACCATTTTAGAGTTGCTTTCCCTTGACTTATTGGTATAAAGTTGGAGATAGCTATTAACATCTTGACTGTGTCTCTTGCAGTTGTCTTTGTTTCATGAACTACTTCTCCGTAATAGCATGCAGCCATCTTCAAGAGGTGAGAATTTCACTTAGCGACTTAAACAGAAGTGTTATCTCAAGATAATATAATATCTGGAGGTATGTGGCTGCTACTGTTTGGTGAGTAATTCAGAGTAAAAGGGACAACATTGCTTGAGATTTCTGTGGCCTTTTCTATAAGATCTATCCTGTGACTTCAGTCATCGTAATCATATTCAACAAAGAAGAGAGAAAAAGATGGCAGAAAAATCACTCCCTTGGAAAGGAGAGTAAAAGTTTTCGTTGAGGCCGGGCGCGGTGGCTCACGCCTGTAAACCCAGCACTTTGGGAGGCCTAGGCGGGGGGATCACGAGGTCAGGAGATCCAGACCATTCTGGCTAACATGGTGAAACCCTGTTTCTACTAAAAATACAAAAAAATTAGCCGGGCGTGGTGGCGGGCGCCTGTAGTCCCAGCTACTCCGGAGGCTGAGGCAGGAGAATGGCATGAACCCAGGAGGGGGAGCTTGCAGTGAGCCGAGATGGCGCCACTGCACTCGAGCCTGGGCAACAGAGCTAGACTCCATCTCAAAAAAAAAAAAAAAATTTTGGTTGGAGATTCCCAGCGGAGTTCTTCTCTAGTCTTCTCTAATATAAATTATTTCAGTGGTCATTTCTAGTAACACTGGAGAGTAGGCACAGGTATTTGGCTTCTCCAATTTCTGGAGTGAAGTTGATAAGGGAGGAATTATTTGGGAATGGGTGTTGGGTTAGCCAACTATTTTTCTGTCTCTGAAATTTTGCTTGACTCTGGCTTTTGTTCATCACTTCTCATGTGATACAACATTCATGTTCATACACACTCATCTACCTAAATGTTACCTTTTCCCAAAACTCTATCTATACTTCATCTCTAAGTTCCATATTCATACTCACATGCAGTACCAACCTGCTTCTCCCTCCTGGTATATATTAAATATATTAGACAACTCAATGTGCACCGTTTTGAAAGCCTGCCAAAAATCAAGCATCCCCTGACTCCCAGCAGACATATAACACAGCAATAACAACAACCCACCCAGGCATTAAACCCAACACACATGAATTTTTAAGGGACATCAATGCTAGAAATTCAGGCCATGGCATTAAACTTCCCTCACCCCTTTTCTCTATCATGATCTGCTTAGAAAATCTCTAGAGCTATTAGAATTTGCTCAAATGCAAACAACTTGAAGGCAGTAAATCTTGTTTCTCTCTGAATCTTTGCAGCCTAGAGGTTTACATAGCCTGCAATAGACACTTTACAGAATGTTTGCTGAACATCAAGAGATTTATGATTGGTATACATTCAGTGGTCTCATTTTGCACAATAGAAAAGACCTATATATTATAACAGACCTGATAATTTCCAAAGCTTTATAAGCCATTATTTGCTTTCTTAGAAAACAAATGACATTGAAAATTTTTGACTTAAATTTGGCTTATTGAAAAAACAATACATTGCTTTTAAGTTTCCTGTGAGGAATTACTTTTGAAATTGTGACAGCTTGCAGCATAATATTGCCACCAAATTAATTTTTAAAATCTACTACTTAAACCATTTTATTGTATCAATGGTTTTAACAATGACAAATAATTTATGCCCTACTCAATGTTCTAATTAAAATCAGAAGTTTACTCTGCACTTCATCGAAGCAGGTATCAAAATGTGCTCAAAATAATCTGTGATCTTCCCCAACCCCGTGCCTGAAAGTATGTGTGTTGTGGGTAGGGAAATATTTTAAGAGTTTAAATGAATGTTGGCAATATCTTAAGATTGATAACTCTTATTTTGTATATTGAATAAAGACTCTCAGATTGATATGCCTCTTGGCATAATATTGCAGAAAAAAATTTTGCCTTGGAACTTAAACTTTCAATATTAGGTTAGTTCAAAGAAGCAAGTCACCTCTGACTTTGAAAGGAATACAAAATGTAAGACTTGCATTTGCCAAATGAAAACCACTTTGTTATTTGTGTGTGGTCATTGACTCTATGGTCATACTGTCAAACTTTCAGGTAGATATTTGGGATGTCACATAATTGTTTTCATTTATGAGGTCTGTAAACAGGATCCAAATTTTTGTGGTTCAATATGTTACGTAAGTATGAAATTAGATATATTTTAGTTGATTTTCATTTCCTAAATGAAAGACATCAATCCCATTTAGATTGTTGATCTTGATGTTTTACTAGTGTTTTGGACTGAATAATTTCTCTCAAAAATGCATCTGCGGATGCCCTAATGCTCAATGTGAGAATATGTGGAGACAGGACCCTTAAGGAGGTAATTAATGTTAAATTATGTGAAAAAGGTGGCTCAGCACTTTGGGAGGCAAAGGCAGGCAGATCACCTCAGTTCAACAGTTCAAGGCCAGCCTCGCCAACATGGTGAAACTCAGTCTCTACTAAAAATACGAGAACTAGCTAGGCGTGGTGGCACACTCCTGTAATCCCAGCTACTCAGGAGGCTGAGGTAGGAGGATGGCTTAAACCCGGGTGTCGGAGGTTGCAGTGAGCCGAGATTGAGCCACTGCACTCCAGCTTGGGTGATAGAGTGAGACTCTGTGTCAAAAAAACAAAACAAACAAACAAAAAAATTGGGGCCCTAATCCAATGTGACTGATGTCCTTTTAAAATGAGGGAGAGGCACCAGAGCTCACTCTCTCTGCTGCAGCACAGAGGAAAGGCCATACAAACACACAGGGAGAAAGCCACCATCTGCGAGCAGAGGAGTGGGGCCTCACCAGAAACCAACCCTGCTGGCACCTTGATCCTGGAATTCCAGCCTCAGAACTCGGATAAAATAAATTTATGTGATTTATTACACCAAGTTTGTGTGATTTTGTTATGGCAGTCTGAGCAGACTAATACAACTTGTGAATCAATTTTCCATTAACCTTACCTGATAAATGGTATGTTGTGCTTTTCTATGAGACAGCAGAAGACCTAAGAATTGAGCGCACACCGTTATGACGTAAAGAAATTAGCATTGAAACTGCAATTTATGTGGCAGGTTTTTTTTTTTTTTTTTTTAGATGGAGTTTCGCTCTGTCACCCAGGCTAGAGTCCAGAGTTGCAATCTCAGCTCACTGCAAGCTCCACCTCCCAGGTTCACGCCATTCTCCTGCCTCAGCCTCCAGAGTAGCTGGGACTACAGGCGCCCGCCACCACGCCTGGCTAATTTTGTATTTTTACTAGTGATGGGATTTCTCCATGTTGGTCAGGCTGGTCTCAAACTCCCGACCTCAGTTGATCCACCCGCCTCGGTTCCCAAAGTGCTGGGATTACAGGAGTGAGCCACTGCGCCTGACCTTATGTGGCAGTTTTAATGGATTGCCAGATTATGGGGTAAAAATTACTGGATCTGAATATTTTAATTCATGATTATAGTTCGAATCTACATCAGGAGACAGTAATATAAATTTAATTCCCAGCATCAAATTTTATTTTTAATTTGTTTACTGCAAGTTCATTTTCATACAAAGAATGCAGAAAGACTAAATATATCCGTCATTTTTTTCATAGTTGAAGGGCTTTTCTTTTATGAAATAGAGATTGATAGTTTGTTATATAATTTTAATGTAAATTTTAATAGACTTGATTAAATTACTAGTTTGTACAATCATAAACCTACAGGTAATCTCTATATAAAATGAATTTAAAAATAAATAATTTGGATATCTTTATTGACTTTTCCCCTCATTTATAGAATAGTATATTTTAATTATATTGATTAACAAAAACAAAGACACATAAGTAGAACAACTTAAAAATCCCCAGCATATCTACATAGTAGGACAATAAGGGACTTAAAAAGATTCCACTGAGAAAAGAATATTAAGAATTTGCAACATTTTTATCTATGTGGGAAATTACTTTAGGTGCCTTTTTATGGTTATTACTATTGCTTGAAAATAAAAAGACTTAAAGAAATATGACAATTATAGTAGGTGCTGGAATTTTAGTAAATTTTCTGGCACTGACTCCAGGCTCTACTTTGTTTATGGCTTTGGGAAATGTATTTAACCTCTCTGAGCTTCAGTTTCTTCCACTGAAAAAGGAAAATAATTATGGCACTCACTTTCTAAGGTTGGTTTAAAAATTGAATGAGATAATATATAAAAAATGCTTTGCATAGTGGATGGCACGTAATAGACACTGAGTGAACATTGGCTATATAATAATGTAAGAAGATATTTATAATCCATTTTTCTTTGATATTCAAAATGAACTTTAACATGTTTATGTCAGGCAAATAGAATTATACCAATTTCACATAATATACATTTCAGAGATAAGTCTAGCTCACTCACCCACTTATAATAATCTGAGAATTTGAACTTTTGGCCCTAACAAAAAGCATTTTACCTATAAAAATAAGAATTTACAACACCTTTCTGATATGTGTAGAGGAAAGAGTTTGCTTATTTTCTACCAATATGATAAATGCTTCCAAGATGCAGTTTCTGCATAATACAGAATCATTGAAATAATCGAAGTAATCAGTCAATTATCAGGTTATCTTGATACCAATTTGTTTTCTCTCTCTCTCATGTTCCCTCTCTCTCTCGTTCTCTTTCTCTCTCTCTCAGGTAAAACAGCATCCCCAGGATAAACAGGTGAGGAATCACAGAGCAATTTAAAAAGTATTACAAGATACATAAAATCATATATTATGAAAGGAAACACTCAAGTGAAAATGCCATTTATACTCTAATAATGTAGTCTTACTTTGTATCTTGATACACACAAACACTTTCTCATTTGACAGAATAATATACCTTTGTTCAGCTGAGGGTGTTTTGGAATTAATAATAAAGAATGAGGTGGTTTATGGAATACTATGCAAGGAAACTTCTAACTTTTAAAAAAATATTACATGAGGGATTTAGTCAAGAGCTAAAAAAAAAAAAAAAAGGCAAGCATAGTGGTGAGGAAAAGATATTATCATTAATTACTTTTCAAGGTTGTCTGCTGCCTGCAGATTTGTTAGCTCCGTCATGGAATATGTCACAAGGGAGTTACTTTTGAAGGAGTAACAGAAGAGTGTGAAAAATCTCAATATGATGCATGAGTGTAATCTCCTCTTTGCAGATGTTAATTCCCTGCTTGCTGCAACTAGGAAGCAAGTGCCAACATATTTGGGAATGCTCCTTCCTGCTGGACAGCACACAGACAAGTTGGAAAGGAATCCTATAACAAGCTAGCTGCCATGCATATGGAATGAAGCTTAGTTAAAAAGTCTTTCCAAGTGCTTGAGTATTTTTAGATGATATTTAGCCCCCTTTAAATTGAAAGACGAAATGCAGCAATTGAAACTGAGTATGTACTCTGATCTTGGTGGGGAGGTAATTCCCCATAAGATGTTGTGTCTCTGATGAACTCTCAACAAATTCAAAATATAGGATGTTATCAAACTTGCCCTTTTTCACGGAGCACTTTCTTTAAAAAAATAATGATAGTAAAAGAAAACCTAAAGAAACATTTTCAATTTTCAAGGTCACATAGGATAACTTTGAAAGTCTAAGTTCATAAAAACAACAACAACAAAAAAATCTAAAGAAAAGTAAAAACAAGGATCAGGAAAAGATCATAAAAAGATTGACCATCTAAACAACAAACATTGGCTTTCTAAAAGAAAAACATATATTTATTTGGGAATAGAGCATTGCAATGAGAATACTCATGCCATATTAAACCATGTGGATATTTAGAGATGTAAAGAAAAACTGTGGTTTCTAAAGGAAAAAGAATGAGGAGAATTACATAATTGTTTTGAAAGCATTATCCCTGCCTACAAAGGTCACAAGGGTGATGCCAGTCTGAGTTTGGACAGGCAATTGCTGGGCAGATATCTCTGCAGAAGTATTTTGTGTAAGGTTGTGATGGTCTTTGTACAAGGGTGTGGTTTTTGCAGAGGTTACTGTGATACTTTTTGTTATTACGCATACAAACATGAGGACTTTCTCCTCACTGCCTTTCCTGGCTCTATTTGTGGGGGATTTTTTTTTTTAACATTAGTAATTCCATTTTGATTCTGACAATTTTCACAAGATTATAAAGTTTATATTTTTCCCATGGAAAAATTAAATATATAACTTAAAATATTGAACAAAAAGTGGAGGATTTTTTAAAAATAGAAATGTTTTCAGTATTAATATAAACTTCTAACTGGTCACACATGATAATCCAACAGATGGCCTTAACTATCTAATAAAACAGTCATTCTATATGAACAAATGCAGAAGAAAATAGGTTTTCTAAGTGTTTTATTCGGTTCTAATTGTCCTAATAATAGCTTAAACACATTGTCCATGTACTGAGAACTTTTATTAACATCCCTTGGGATTATAAATATAAGAAGTGGAGAGCTAATATTGACTTTTTAGTGTTTGCAATCCACAATTTTATAAACTACAAATGTGTAAAATAATTTAATTTCTAGATAACTCTAAAATACTCTTATTTTCTTAATTTGACACACGAGGAAACCGAAGAACAGCACAATCATTTTGCATTCCCTAGTGGTTAATTTTTGTCAGATCTGGGATTTGAACCACTGTTATGTATTGCCAAAATGGTCTCCTAAACCTTTTTGTAATCAGATAAATTTCCAAGGATGGAAGAATTAAGAGTTTTTCTCTAGAAAAAAAACAATGTATGTACCTATTATTTATAAATGAAATGAGAAAAAGAACAAGAAGCAGCAGGAGAGAAGCAATAGAGAGATAAAGAATTAATTAATTAAGAATTATACCCTATTAAACCTGAATACCTACAGATAAAAATAAGCCAGCATTTCTCGAAAGTTCAAAGGTGTGTCTGTGTTGGGGGATGGGGGGGCAGGGGCAAAGACGGCATTTCTGTTAACAGTTATTTTGATATAAGCTTAATTATTTTCATTCTAGGCAAATCTAATCTGATTTTAAGATAGCAATATTGAAAAATGGGACAGAATGGCTTAAAAGTAACCATTGTACAATAATGAGGTGAATGCATCTCGTTCATCTCATAAAACAGTGAAGTGTTAAAGCCAAATTCAGCTGTAATTTTCATTTGTTTTCTATCTCTCAAGGAATACTACACTCTTCCTTAAATAACAAAAACTGCGGCTGGGCGTGGTGGCTCACACTTGTAATCCCAGCACTTTGGGAGGCCGAGGTGGGCGGATCACGAGGTCAGGAGATGGAGACCATCTTGGCTAACACGGTGAAACCCCGTCTCTACTAAAAATACAAAAAATTACACAGGCGCGGTGGCGGGCGCCTATAGTCCCAGCTACCCGGGAGGCTGAGGCGGGAGAATGGCGCGAACCTGGGAGGCGGAGCTTGCAGTGAGCCAAGATCGCGCCACTGCACTCCAGCCTGGGCGACAGAGCAAAACTTCGTCTCAAAAAAAAAAAAAAAAAAAAAACTGGAAAATTTGTTCTAAACAGCTTCATGGGAAGAGATAATGAGCTATGCAGCTCAACATAATTCAACAAATATTTGTTGAGTATCTATACTAGAACCTGTTCCAGATGTTTGAAATACTTCAGTGAACATACCATTTTTTATAGAAAAAAGACCACTTTCTTTACCTTTGTGGAGCTTGCATTCTATCAGTGGGAGACATACACTCCACCATTGTTACACTAAGTAAGTATAATATTTAGCCAATTCTTATAAATTGTATGTTACCTCAGCATCCATTTTGAAAATAGGTTTAACTTGCACATACCAGAAGCTTGGCTTAGTGACCCTCAAAGGAGTTTTCACTTCCTCCAAAGTCCTATATGTGGTCGCCTCCGATATCTGCCGTATACAACTGTCTCCTGGTGACCACCTCCCTGTGAGACAGCAGATACAACCTACCCCTCTGGCCTTCTCACCTCTCGTGGACTGTGTAGATGCTGCAGTGGCCCCTGCTCAGTTACAGTGTGACTATTGGACTTGTTCCTGCTTGCTATAAGCCCACTGTATTAGTCCATTCTCACGCTGCTAATAAAAACGTACCTGAAACTGCCTAATTTATACAGAAAAGAGGTTTAATTGACTCACAGTTTTGCATGGCTGGGGAGGCCTCGGGAAACTTACAATCATGGCGGAAGGGGAAGCAAACACATCCGTCTTTACATGGTGGGAGGAGAGAGAAGAATGAGAACTGAGTGAAGAAGGAGGCCCCTTAAAACCATCAGATCTCCTGAGAATGAACTCACCATCAGGGGAATAGCATGGGGGGGAAAGGCTGCCATGATTCAATTACCTCTCACTGGGTCCCTCCCACTATGTGTGAGGATTAGGGGAACTACAATTCAAGATGATATTTGTAAGGCCGAGCATGGTGGCTCACGGCTGTAACCCCAGCGCTTTGAAAGGCCAAGGCAGACGGATCTTCTGAGGTCAGGAGTTCAAGACCAGCCTGGCCAACATGGCAAAAACCCATCTCTACTAAAAATACAAAAATTAGCCAGGTTTGTTGGTGGACGCTTGTAATTCCAGCTACTTCGGCGGCTGAGGCAGGAGAATCGCTTGAATCCGGGAGGGAGAAGTTGCAGTGAGCCAAATGGTGCCACTGTACTCCAGCCTGGGTGACAGAGCAAGACTCCATCTGAAAAAAAAGAAAAAAAAGAAAAAATGATATTTGGGTAGGGACAGTGACAAACTATATCACCCACCAATTAAAACTTCCCTTGGAAACCTGCTTAGATAATGCCCTTAGCCCCCAAAAAAGGCTTCAACTCACAGGTCTTTCTGCCTTTCTTACTCTCTACCTGATGGTTGAATGTGTGTGCTATATGGCTTCCCATTTCCTATTGTCCCTGCAAGACTTGCCCTTTTTTCTCTGGATCTGTAAGTAATAAACTGCTTCTGTTATTTCATGTGTTTTCTTGAGTTGCCTCCTCTGTGGCTCACCTGAGCAACACACCAAAACCTATCTTCTTTCCTAGTCAGAGTGCTCCTAGAGAGTGGCTATGGTAGAAATAAACTGGACACAAGTCAGACAAGAACCACGAAAATGTCTGCCCATATAAATGAGTTTCCTGTGAAAGGGACCAGTGATCACAAATTGGATACTTAAATATTAGAATGTATACAGGGATAAAGAAGCATTCTGTGAAAGGCACATTGTCATAGGTACAACCAAATACAAATCCTCTGGAGCCCCATCAGGGCATGGCCAGAGTTGATAGCTAATCTCCTAAAAGAGATCTTGAGACACACACAGGAAAAAAGCACTTTGGCAAAATACAATCATAGCAAGATTATGTTATGTATAGGCATTGGAAGTATGGATTATGATTTTAAAAGTGAGACTGTGGTAGGCCTCAGTAAGAAGAGCACATGTGAGCTAGTGAGTAGAGGTAAAAGCATTTGTTATAAAGATATCTGGGGAGACAACCAGTACAAATGCCGTAAAGTGAAAGTGTGGCTGGCATGTTCCAGGAATTTCAAGAAATACTCCTCCCTCCGTGCCCTCTGTGATATGAAGGCCATGAGTTATCGGGAGAGCAGAAGATGAGGTTAGAGAAGAATTAGAGGCCCAACCACACAGAGGGACTTGTACCAATGTAAGGATATTGTGTTGTTACTTTTAGTTACATGGAAACCTATAAGCAGGATTTTGAGCAGATAAGTGACATGATTTCACATATGATTAAAGAATCACTCCAGCTGCTCTGCTACAAATAGACAGCATGGGGGCAAAGATAGAGCACAGAGACAGTGAGGAAGCCACTGCAGAAGTCTAGACTAGTAATGATAGAGGCTTGGGTTAGAATGATGAGTAGTGAGATATCAATGAGATAGTTAGAAGTAGTCAGAGTCTGTTTACATTTTAAAGGCAGAGACAGAAATGTTTCTGAGTGTCTGATGTGAAGGAAAAATATACTTAAGTATAACATCACATGCCATTTGTGTCTGAAGGCATGAAAAGCTGAAATTGTCATCAACTGAATTGGAAAAGGTGGTAGGTGAAGTAGATTTTGGGAGAGATAGGAAGGATTCAGTATTAGATATGTGGAATTTGAAATGTCTATAAGACACTCTAGTTGAGAAGTTGAGTAAGTAGTTTGATTAATCTGTATTTTCAAGAGAGAGGTCCGTATTGGAGATGGTATTTGGAATTCATTGGCACATAAGCCATTTGATTGAATGAGATAACCAATGAGATAACCACTGCAGTGGAGAAGTAGAGGAGAGATTTGAGGATTGGCTCTTGGAAGTCAATATTATTGTGTAAGATATAAAAGAAGAAAAAGAAAGAAGACAAGAGTTAGGAAAGCAAAGAAGAAGAGTAATATCCTGGAGGCAAAATGAGAAAAGTGTATCAAGAAGGAGATAAAGGTGGGCTGCATTATATGGTTCTGATGGGCAGTGTAAAATCAAATATTAGATTTAGCAAGGTAGAGGTCAATGATTACACCAAGAGCACTTTTGCTAGAGTGGGGATAACTGTATGATCAGTGTAGCTTCATGATAGGATATGTAAAGGAAATTTGGGAATAGTGTATCTACACAACTCTTTCAGGGAGGTTTACTGAAAAGGGAAACAGAGAAGTAGATTGGTACTTAGTAAAGGAAATAGGATCAGGTCAAGATAAATTACATTTTTAAATGAGAGAAATTTCAGTTCATTATTATGCTGATGACAATGACCTGATGGGATTGTTAATTTTATGTATCAACTTGGTGAGTGTATTGTCCACAGTTGCTTGGTCAAATACCAGTCTAGAGGCTGTTGTTAAGGTATGTTTTAGGCGTGGTTAATATTTAAATCAGTAAATTTGTATTAAAGCAGATTACCCTCCGTAAGTGGGGTGGACCTTCTCCAATCAGCTGAAGGCCTTAAGAGAAAAAATCACTGAGGTTCCACTAAGGGAAAATAATTCTGACTTTAGATTGGCCTTCAGACTGAAGACTCCAGCATCAACTCTCCCCTGATCTCCAGCCTGCTGCTCTTCAGCATTCACACTTGCCAGTCCCCACAATGGTGGGAGCCAATATGGGGGATACTGGCATTCAGTTTAACACCCTGCTCTACAGTGATTAAGGAGCAGTTAGAGGATGTGGTATAGATACCATACATGCATAGATTTAGTGACTGGAATCTGTAAGTTTGCTTTTGGTGGTGGAAGCCACAATTTCATCAGCTGCAACTTAGGAATAGGAAGCATGGAGGTTTGGAGAGAGGAAAGGACGGCTAATAATTAAGATTTAATGTGCTAAGGATATTTAGTATGGTTGCTAAAATGCATTAAGTTTCCACTTGAAGTTCACGTCAAAAATCTTCAGTGAAACCTGTCAATCTGGTTGTGTATTTTTCTCCATTCATGTCAAACCCCATGGGTGCAGATAAAAAACAGCTGGAGAGTTAGATTTAATCAGAGTGTGGTTTTGTCATTCAAGTAAAAAGAAACAAGAGAGACCATGGGAATCAAGTGTGTGATCATGGATTTCAACTGGGTAAAAAAGGGGGCAAAGACTTTAGAGGATAAAGAACAGTGAAATAACAGAATTAAAGGATTTATGATTCTTGGGGTCTGGGTTAGATAGTGAACAGTAAATACAGGAAACCAGATAATGTTATGTCTTTTCACAAAGGGACCGTATTTTTTAAAAACAGAGTGTTCTTTTAAACCAGTACTCCTCATGAAATAATGAGAAAGAAAGTCTTAAAAAGAAATTTCTACAAAAAAAAATTCTATAGTGATACAAGGATTGCCACCATGTCCAATTGTAGGCCCTAGAAAACTAGTCTGAACCATATAAATACTATTTTTTATTTGTACTACAATGTAAGTAATTCTGGTCCAGGTGTCCCAATCATGTAGACGGGCCAGAGGCACTGGATCACGGAAATATGTGCCCACATGTTTAGAGCAAATTGCTTTGTTACTTGGCAGGAATCAATAAGGAAAGCTGGAATATTCTTTTTTCTCACAGCTATGTCATTTCTATATTGCCTGACCTAAAGGAAAAGAAAAAAAAGGGCCAATGTCTTCATTACAAGATAGACTCCTGAGAATGCTTATTCCAGCAAAGAAGAAGATCTTCCTAAAAAACAAGGTCTAACCAATGTTTTTAATATCATTATTTTTTTTTTGGCTTGGTTGTGGAGTGAAATAAAAAGTCTTGCTCTCTCCTCGTTGTATATTGGGCAATGGGAGATTAAAGAAGGAGAGAAGATTAAAGAAGGATAGGATAAAGAGAATGGGAGATTAAAGGATAGGCACCAAGTCTTCTCACAGGCCTATGAATAGATATAAGGCAGGGTATATATAAAAATATTTTGGACCCTATGTACAATATCTATAAATTATCAGAATTTCAAAACAATGTCTTTTAAGAGACTTTAAAGACATGCAGTTTACACAGTATCAAACCAGTAACAGAATATAAAAATTGTTTGATAAACATTTATAATTCCATAGAACTGTACTGTATCCAAGCAAGGGAATGTGTTGTATGTCAGCCAATGCCAACGAAAGCTAGGGTAAACCTTTGAAACACAGGCAATTCTCTGTGGGACAGTTCAATAATAATTGAACTATTGCACCTTTTCCATCGTGTTTGTAGATGTTTTTAGCTAAATTTTGATCTCAGGTTTAGCTTTGTGTGATTTAAGGTAGCAGTAAAAGTAAATGTCTTGAACCTCTAGGAGTATGGTGAAGATCAAATCACATAACATATATGAACAAAGTAAAACATGAAAATTGTTAATATCCAAATAAAATCTAAGTTTATTAGAACAAGTTATATATATATATACACATATATATGTGTACATACACACACACACACACACACACACACACACACATAGGTTTCCTCAGTTAAACATTGCCTACAATAAGTCAGGAACACAAAATGAAAATCAATATCAATGTCAAAGAACTTTTTAAAAATATAGCTATTATTTCATCAAATAAAATGCTACCTGCTGCCTGCTTTATAAAGTTAACCATTTTTATGTCAATTGACAATTTCAGTGAATTGGATAATCAACACATTTATTTTATCAAAATGTTTAATACGTAACTATTAAAATACATTTATGGATATATGTATTTAAAATTAAGTTGGCTATTGTGTACTTATTCTTTCAATATCATAGACAAGCCTCTACTCACTGTTTGCATACCCTTTTCGCCTTCCTTGCCTCGCCTTGAGAAAGAAGTGAAATATAATATAGTTTGGACAACAGGAATCACAATAGTGCAATGGGCTAAGGATAACCCTTTTTTATTGTCTGGAGCAAGTGGAAAGAAAATGATGAGATGAAATGTTAGCACTGTATGTAAATGGGATAAAACAAAATATGGAAGAGATTCTCTTTTAGCAAACTTACACAAGTGTTCAGAGCTTAGGGAAAACACTAATATGCTTAGCTCCTGAGTTTTGGTGTCAGTGAAATACAGGCATGCATTTTTCTTTCTAAAGTACAATAAATCTTATTCTCGAGAAAGTTCATGCTGTTAAATAGGCTGATTCAGATGCAAGATAAGCACGGGGAGAGATTTTCTTCAAAATTAAAGTTCTATCCTTTATTAAAAACACAGTCCTAGTGACAGAAACATGTTCCAGAAATGTGCTTAGTTATAATTTGAATGGAATTATTTGCACAATTCAAAATTATAATGCTTTAGTTTATCGTAAAGATCATTTATATGTCTAAGGAATTATCTGGAAATATTTCCCATAAAAATACATATTAAAGTAACAGAAAATTATGGTTTATTAGGAAAATTATCTTTTATTATATGAATAGGTGACATTCTTAATGTGTAGGCAGATAATGAAATGTCCTTCAAAACATTGTAAGACAGATGCATTTATTTTTCAGTGATGATAACATGTTTACTATAGTCTTTTATTCATTAATTCAAAACATTTATATTTAATATTTTCTATCTGTTATGTTCTGTATGCAAAGTTTTAAAAACATAATATACAGAACATAACATATAGGTGAGAAATAATGTATAGAAATTATTACAAACAAATTAGAATATTATGAATTCTGAAGAAAATAAAATGTGGAAAAAAACTCAGTTCAGAGTTAGCCAAAAAAAGGAAAACCCTTGTCTTCAAGAGTTTAAATCCTGCAATTCATCTATTTCCAAGTGTATAATGATATTGAAATGTATGTCACATACGATGTAAGAAATGGAGGTAAAAATAATAAATAAATCAGTTGCAATTCTTATGTTACAGTTCTTTTGAAGACATTATAAATAGATACATGTATGTGTGTATTTTATTAAATGAATGTGTGTGTATTTAGATGACAAGTGATGCAATTACTATGGTGAAAAAAGTACAAACTGCTGAATATAAGGCTGAATGGATAATTTAGTCATTATGTGTCGTAAGCAGATTATAAGTCACAGTCTGTAAGAAAAGAAAAAGTAAAACAAGATAGACTCCTGAGAACACTAATTCCAGCAAAGAAGAAGAAGATCTTCCTAAAAAACAAGGTAAAAAACAAGGGGATAAAAAGAAACAAATATATAATTCAGTTTTTGAAAGGGTACATTAGAGAGCTTTGTGAGACCTCAAAGATATATCAGGAGACAAGAAATGTCTCTTGTCAAACATCAAGAGACAAGGTTGTGATAAAGTGCTGGAAGGAAGTTGCTATTCTTTCCATAGTGTTACTCTTTGAAACCAGAGTTAAAAAGTAAAATTGTCTATTTAAAAACTAAATTTTATGACTGGGAACTGTGCCTCATGCCTGTAATCCCAACGCTTTGAGAGGCCAAGACAGGAGAATCGCTTGAAGCCAGGAGTCTGAGACCAGCTTGGACAACAAAGCAAACCCTGTCTCTACTAACAATAAAAAATAAAAATAAAGTAGCCAGGCACGGTGGTGTGCACCTGTAGTCCCAGTTATTTGGGAGGCTGAGGCAGGAGGGATACGTGAGCCCAGGAGTTTGAGGCTTCAGTGAGCTATAATCATGCAACTGCACTCCAGCCCAGGGAAGTGAGACCTCATTTCTAAAAATAAAAAATAATAATAATAAAGAATGAAAACACTATATATTTCACACACACGTATATTACATTTCATAACTATCAAGCACTTGAAATTTAATTACAGAACTGCATTGTGCAACTATGGAAAGACTGGGAGCAAAAAGGGCTCCAGCTTGAGTCCTAAGTTACTCCAAAACTACATGACTATTAAAGAGGGAGCAAGTGGAAAAGGACACCAAGAAAGAAGAAACAAGAAGGGGGAGGGGTAGAGAGAGAGAGAGAAGAAAGAATTGGCAGAAGGAGAAAAGAGAAAGTGCATGAGGAGCTATATCATACAAGAAATAAAAAATGTATTACTAATGAAAGAAATAAATGCTGCCATGAAATCTAGTAAAGTATGGTACAGTGAAATATGTAAAAGTTGCCCTTCACTTTGGTATGGAAATTGATGGTGACTGTAGGAGAAATTTTGGTTGAGTGATAGTAGCAGATCCCAAGTAAGAAGGTGTGTAACAAAATGGACTGGAGTGTAGCAAAATACTGGCTTTATATGAAAACAACTCTTAGAGTCCTATGGCTATGAAGATGGTAGAGTATAAGGCAGTAGCTGTAGGCATTATTTGTAATTAAAGGACGTAACAGGTGTGGTATTCTGAATTCCCACTGAATTCACCAACAATAGACCTGATCAAAACAACATACTGCTTTTAAAATAAAAGTGCTACACATTTTAGAATGCATTTATGGAAATATGTTATCTTTTAAAACTGTATTTGAATATGCATTAACATTTTGTCTTTATTAAGACACAATAACTATTGTGAATTATTTTATTGAGATAGAATTATGTAAGATAAATTTCAATGCAATTAAATTCTTTTTCTATATAACACAAAGAACTTTCGAATCTTAAAATCTTCCATTCCATATACTCTTTTAATTTATTGAGCAAAATGTAAAAACACAGGAATAGCTTTGCATACTCTAGTCATTTTATTCTTCAAAAGATTTAGCAAAGGTTATAAGAGAAATGGAAATTCTAAATATAAGTTAATGTAATATAGTCTGAAGATACACTTTTCTAAATTATCAATAAAAGTGAAATCACACAACAAATATTTATATTGCATTTAAACAAACAAAAGTAGGACAGTTCTATATTTAGAAACATTGAGAATTGTTAAGAAATATTAATTATTAAAGGTAAGTAACATTATCCAATTGTGGGTTTTTTAGTACATGTATATCTTTTCTGTAGATCTGAGTAATAATTTGAAAAGTAAAGTTTAATACACATACAATATAATAGTAATTTTCACCAAATCTATAATATTCTATGTGAGTAAGTGATTAGAATATCCCCAAGCAGCTACAAACGTTCATTTTAAGATGTAATTTAAAATCAATTACTTGAATAAAAGTCAAGTTATGGAACATAATTCCCATTTTACAGGGATACGTTTAAAGAAGCTAGATTGAGTCCCTATATGGCTATTTTTTAACTTCTGATTCATAATTTTTAATAGTCTGTCTTCATAGAATTTCCAGTAAAATAGGTAATCTGTGAATATATGACGCAATGTGAAAATGGGAAAACCAAAACGTCTCTCAGTAAATGAAAGCCAGTGTGTCCAAATGTGTTTTGAAATTTTAAAATGCTATTGTGACCAACTGCAATTCTGAAAATGTCGTAAAACAGATTTATATTAGAAGGGAAAAAGATATAAATTACATACCACTTGAAATAAAATGGTCTTTTTAAACATACTGGGTCATTAGAGAGCAAGCCCCACCCCACAACTTCCACAGTGGTCCCAAGCTTCTCTCTATCCTGTGACTCCAAACTTCATGATATAATAAAGTGAGGAAGTATTCTCCATTCTTTCCAGGATTATCCATCTCTCTTATTCATATTGACTCATGAAAAAATTAATAGGACCACCAAGGCTTTCAAATCAGCTTCATTGTACTAAGAGTTGTGACATATTATCTTACTTGCTTTTTGCAAGACCCCACTTTATTTTACATTTTCTCATTTAAAGACATTTTTCACTTTCCTTCACCACCACCTACTTCAACATAGGCTTGACGTGTGCTATATGTGGATATGTGTGTATTATGTTATATTATGCAGATTGTTCTGGCTATACATTTGATTGCATAAGCGCTATGTATTACAGATCCCATTCCATTGTTAAATTTTTAAAATTTGACGTTGTCCTTAATTTCTACCCATATTGTTTTTAACTGTTCCATAATATTCCACAGTACAAGACTACATTATATGTACCTATTGGCAGAATAATGAACACTTAGAGTGGCCTCTAAATTTTGACTACAATCCTTAACATATCCATGTGTTTCCTTTTTAAACATATATAAAGAAATTTCTGAGATATATTCATAGAAATGTAACCAAAGAATGATAGGGTATACAATACTTAGTTTAATTAAGTTATTTTAAATTTCTTGTCATAATGCTTATACCACTTTATACTATTCTTGGTACATAAAGCTTTCCATTATACCATAATTTCACCGATGCTAGATATTATCTACCTTTATAAACTTTGACAAGCTCTTATAAAATAGTATATAAATTTAAATTGAGTATTTCTCTAGTTACTCAAAAGTATGATCATCCTTTCCTGTATTTGTTGGATTTTCAGATTTCTCAAACTGCCTACTTTGTTCTTAGTGAACTGTCTTTTCGGTGTACTTTCTATAATTTTTTGTTTGTTTTGAAGATCAATATTTTTCTTTCAGAATTAAATATCTGATAATTGTTCTATCTTTACTTCAAGAGGTAAATTATATCCATAAGAACAATTTTCCTCTTCCTGTGATAAAGGGCAATTTATTAAAAAATGACTTTTTAAGTATAGTAATCCCTTCTAAATATATATAAGGCCCAACACATGTGTTATTTGTTTATTTGTTTTGTCATCTTGGGATTATGAAAGCTATAAAATGACTTTAGTGGTTGAATGCAAATCCTTGAAATGTGTTTACTACATATTTATGGCAATATCAAAATATAAGTAGATATGTTACTATAGAGTTTGCAATTAGGAATAGGGGATTTTAAAAGTTAATTAGTTCCAAAGAATTACATATCAACAAAGACATAAAAAGTGGTTAAATGAAAAATGATTTGTGGTGAAACTTTGGAAATAATAAAATTGTAAACAAGTACAAATAAGATAAAAATTATGGAAAATTACAACAAACAAAACAACTCTAGGTATCTATTGATTCCTGAAAACACCTGTTCTTTAAATTCTCATTGTATCAACACTAACCGTATTTTGAAGACCTCATTTTATAGCAAAAAAAAGGATGCATAATAATAATAATGAATACTATCTTTTCTTTTCTAGGATTACTCAAAGTTATTGAGAAGAAATACAGGTAGATGCATCATTACTTGTTTCTCCCTTGACATAGCCAGAATTCCATGCTAGTGAGTTTCTGGTGTAGAGAAGTCAGATCTTTTGTCATAGTAGAGAATATTGACTTAATTATTTTAGCTGTTGCATGATTATCTCTAGTAAGGAAGCACAAGTTTCTTAGAATTCATTTGTCCAATGCCAAAATTCATACAGTGTTAGAATTCAATAGAAAATAGACATCCTGTGAATACTGATTAACTAATGCATTCATTAAATATGTACAAATTTGACTGTATCTCTTTATAAACTTACAGTCTAGCAATAAGTTAATTAGAATGAAAAGCTGAGGTAATTCAAAAAATATATGAAGACCCTAGGCTTTGGGGGCACAAAACTGTGAGGTACCTAATTTGGTTTAGATGAGGTCTCAGGAATAATTAAAAATATTTTCTGAAAGAAGCTGTAACTGAGATTACTTTTAGATGACTAGTAGTAATTAGGTCAGAGAAGGGATTGGAAAGGACATTTTAATATAAAGGGAACTTCATATATGTATTAATCTGTTCTGACACTGCTAATAAAGACATACTGTGAGACTGGATAATCTATAAAGAAAAGAGGTTTAATGGACTCACAGTTTCACATGGCTGGGGAGGCCTCACAATCATGGCAAAAGATAAAAAAAGAGCAAAGGAATGTCTTACATGGCGGCAGGCAAGAAAGAGTACGTGCAGGGGAACTCCTCTTTAAAAAACCATCAGATCTCATGAGACTTTCCACTAACACAAGAACAGCATGGGAAAGACTTGTCCCTCTGATTCAATTACCTTCCACTGGGTCCCTCCCAGGACATGTGGGAATTAGGGGAGCTACAATTTAAGATGAGATTTGGTTGGGGACACAGCTAAATCATATCAATGTAGAAGGCAGAAAGGACAAATTATTGGAACTTAGGCTGTGAAGCAGAAAGAATTGTGACGTGAGTTTAGAAAAAGGATTCAAGTAGTAGAATATATATAGCCCTATACACCATCTTGAAATTTGTTGTGACTTGCTTTATGGGCCAGCATATTGATCAATTCTGGGAAATGTTCTCTGTGTATTTTAAAATATTGTATTAAATATGATTATATTAGTGCATCAGGCTATTTTCATTATATTGTTTTAAATTTTATCGGTTGCTTCTGGGTGTTTTACTTTTTTTTTTTTGTACTCTCTTAGTATATTCGAACTACTGTAACAAAATATCTTAGAGTAACTTAAGAACAACAGATATTTATTGCTCACAATTCAGGAGGCTGGAAAGTCCAAGATCACGGCACTGCAGATACAGTGTTTGGTAAAGGATCTGTCTGCTTCACACATGGTGACTTCTTGTTGTGTTCTTGCATGATGGAAGGGAAAAATAAACTCGCTTTCACTTATTTTATAAAGGCACTAATCTTATTCAAAAAGGTTCCACCCTCATGACCTAATAAACTCCTAAATATGCCACCCTTTAATACTATTGTTTTGGGGTTTGGGCTTCAACACATGAATTTGAGTGGGATACAAACATTCAAACCATAGCATGCACTTTACTATAATGTACTTAAGTATGCTTTAAAAATATGTATTGTCTATCCATGGGGTAATTAAAAATTTTTTAGTTTATGGCTTGATGTTTTTCATAATCTTGGAAAATATAGAGAGCTTGTATAACTTCTAATATTAATTCTATTCCTTAAAACTCTACTCTCTCTGGTCATTCAATGACATGCATTTTACACATTTTCACTTTGTACCGTATGTCTCTTACATTTTTAAGAGGTTTTCTTTCTTCCTCGCTCTCTCCCTCCCTTTCGCCCTTCATACTGTTCTTTCTTTCTTTCTTTTCTTCTCTCTTCTGTGCCTCCTCCTTTTTTAACCATATGTAATCAACAGTCTGAGTATTGTCTAGTGTTCTATTTTCCAGTTCATTAACCTGATATTCTCCTTTGTCTAATATATAGATAAATTATCTATTGAGTATGCCATATTGCTAGTGCTTTATTTTACTTATTATACTCTTCATTTTTAAAATACAAATTTATTTTTTCTATATTTATTATGAGTAGAAATAATCAACTTTTTTTTTACATATTACAGCTTTTAAAGTTTATGTTGTTTACTTTTGACACTGACATTGTTAGTTTTGTTTCTGCCGATTTTCAGATATTTGGTCTTATCTTTTGTCATACTTGGTGCTTGTTTATTCACTTATTTGCTATTCATTTGAATACTGGTCATCTAGAAATGTCAATTTCTTGATAACAATTTGTTTTTTCTTCAAGTGAGGTTTACTGTCTCTTTTGTTAGATAGTTACATAAAGTCACATTATCTTAATCTAAACAGAGCCAGAGTATTCAAGGCTGGGATTAAGGCTTTGTAAAGGATGGCCTATTGCTGATTCACTTGCTTCTAGAGCATAGCACTTCCTGGGTCATAACGGCAATGTAGATTTTATGCTTCCTTCTTGGCAGCCCATGAACTCCAATGTTTGTCTCCAATATAAGACAACAAATATTCTGCTTGGCTTTTTGGTTTCTTAGTTTTCATTCCTTAGCCTTTCATATGAGCTGCTTATAGACTGGGAAATACCTCAAGACACAAATCATTGTTGCATATGCTTTAGCTCACCTCGTGGAACTGGCCTTCTGTCTGAGATTTTGCCCACTAAACCTGGTTGACTTGACAGCTTTGCAGTGACTTCAAATATAAACTGTATTCTTCTTTCTTAGGTATTTCTAATCTTTTTCTTTGGATCTGTTAGTCTATGATAAAGTAATCATCAACAGGAGATAAATTGTATTTATTTCTGACTCATTCAGTTTCAGTAATTCAAATATAAAGCAATGTATCCTAATAAAACCCCAAACCTTTTAATATATATTACATCAACAGAAATAAACACACCAGAAAATACACAAGTCACACACAAATACACACATACACAAGATGGTTTATCCTTTTTCTTTCTTTACCATAATTTTAGCTCTTAATCAAAACATAGCAAAAAAGACAAAAACATACAGATAATACATCAGTATATATGTAGGCATTAGTTACTAATAGAAAGCCAAATATTTGTATATTTTTCAATTCATAAATAATGATTTTAAGGAATACTCTAGTTTAGTATTGTCCATTGAAACATACGGCCAATATATGAGATATTTTAATTTTCTTTCTTTTTTTTTTTTGAGTATTTTATTTTATTTTCAGTAACTTCTATTTATTTATTTATTTATTTATTTATTTATTTATTATTATACTTTAAGTTTTAGGGTACATGTGCACAATGTGCAGGTTAGTTACATATGTATACATGTGCCATGCTGGTGCGCTGCACCCACTAACTCGTCGTCTAGCATTAGGTATATCTCCCAATGCTATCCCTCGCCCCTCCCCCCACCCCACCACAGTCCCCAGAGTGTGATATTCCCCTTCCTGTGTCCATGTGATCTCATTGTTCAATTCCCACCTATGAGTGAGAATATGCGGTGTTTGGTTTTTTGTTCTTGCGATAGTTTACTGAGAATGATGATTTCCAGTTTCATCCATGTGCCTACAAAGGACATGAACTCATCATTTTTATGGCTGCATAGTATTCCATGGTGTATATGTGCCACATTTTCTTAATCCAGTCTATCATTGTTGGACATTTGGGTTGGTTCCAAGTCTTTGCTATTGTGAATAATGCCGCATAAACATACGTGTGCGTGTATCTTTATAGCAGCACGATTTATAGTCCATTGGGTATATACCCAGTAATGGGATGGCTGGGTCAAATGGTATTTCCAGTTCTAGATCCCTGAGGAATTGCCACACTGACTTCCACAATGGTTGAACTAGTTTACAGTCCCACCAACAGTGTAAAAGTGTTCCTATTTCTCCACATCCTCTCCAGCACCTGTTGTTTCCTAACTTTTTAATGATTACCATTCTAACTGGTGTGAGATGGTATCTCATTGTGGTTTTGATTTGCATTTCTCTGATGGCCAGTGATGATGAACATTTTTTCATGTGTTTTTTGGCTGCATAAATGTCTTCTTTTGAGAAGTGTCTGTTCATGTCCTTCGCCCACTTTTTGATGGGGTTGTTTGTTTTTTTCTTGTAAATCTCTTTGCGTTCATTGTAGATTCTGGATATTAGCCCTTTGTCAGATGAGTAGGTTGCGAAAATTTTCTCCCATTTTGTAGGTTGCCTGTTCACTCTGATGGCAGTTTCTTTTGCTGTGCAGAAGCTCTTTAGTTTAATTAGATCCCATTTGTCAATTTTGTCTTTTGTTGCCATTGCTTTTGGTGTTTTAGACATGAAGTCCTTGCCCATGCCTATGTCCTGAATGGTAATGCCTAGGTTTTCTTCTAGGGTTTTTATGGTTTTAGGTCTATCGTTTAAGTCTTTAATCCATCTTGAATTGATTTTTGTATAAGGTGTAAGGAAGGGATCCAGTTTCAGCTTTCTACATATGGCTAGCCAGTTTTCCCAGCACCATTTATTAAATAGGGAATCCTTTCCCCATTGCTTGTTTTTCTCAGGTTTGTCAAAGATCAGATGGTTGTAGATATGTGGCATCATTTCTGAGGGCTCTGTTCTGTTCCATTGATCTATATCTCTGTTTTGGTACCAGTACCATGCTGTTTTGGTTACTGTAGCCTGGTAGTATAGTTTGAAGTCAGGTAGCATGATGCCTCCAGCTTTGTTCTTTTGGCTTAGGATTGACTTGGCAATGCAGGCTCTTTTTGGTTCCATATGAACTTTAAAGTAGTTTTTTCCAATTCTGTGAAGAAAGTCATAGGTAGCTTGATGGGGATGGCATTGAATCTGTAAATTACCTTGGGCAGTATGGCCATTTTCACGATATTGAGTCTTCCTACCCGTGAGCATGGAATGTTCTTCCATTTGTTTGCATCCTCTTTTATTTCATTGAGCAGTGGTTTGTAGTTCTCCTTGAAGAGGTCCTTCACATCCCTTGTAAGTTAGATTCCTAGGTATTTTATTCTCTTTGAAGCAATTGTGAATGGGAGTTCACTCATGATTTGGCTCTCTGTTTGTCTGTTGTTGGTGTATAAGAATGCTTGTGATTTTTGTACATTGATTTTGTATCCTGAGACTTTGCTGAAGTTGCTTATCAGCTTAAGGAGATTTTGGGCTGAGACAATGGGGTAGATATACAATCATGTCGTTTACAAACAGGAACAATTTGACTTCCTCTTTTCCTAACTGAATACCCTTTATTTCCTTCTCTTGCCTAATTGCCCTGGCCAGACCTTCCAACACTATGTTGAATAGGAGTGGTGAGAGAGGGCATCCCTGTCTTGTGCCAGTTTTCAAAGGGAATGCTTCCAGTTTTTGCCCATTCAGTATGATATTGGCTGTGGGTTTGTCATAGATAGCTCTTATTATTTTGAGATACATCCCATCAACACCTAATTTATTGAAAGTTTTTAGCATGAAGGGTTGTTGAATTTTGTCAAAGGCTTTTTCTGCATCTATTGAGATAATCATGTGGTTTTTTTTCTTTGGCTCTGTTTATATGCTGGATTACATTTATTGATTTGCGTATATTGAACCAGCCTTGCATCCCAGGGATGAAGCCCACTTGACCATGGTGGATAAGCTTTTTGATGTGCTGCTGGATTCGTTTTGCCAGTATTTTATTGAGGATTTTTGCATCAATGTTCATCAAGGATATTGGTCTAAAATTCTCTTTGTTCATTTTGTCTCTGCCCGGCTTTGGTATCAGGATGATGCTGGCCTCATAAAATGAGTTAGGGAGGATTCCCTCTTTTTCTGTTGATTGGAATAGTTTCAGAAGGAATGGGACCAGTTCCTCCTTGTACCTCTGGTAGAATTTGGCTGTGAATTCATCTGGTCCTGGACTCTTTTTGGTTGGTAAACTATTGATTATTGCCACAATTTCAGATCCTCTTATTGGTCTATTCAGAGATTCAACTTCTCCCTGGTTTAGTCTTGGGAGAGTGTATGTGTCGAGGAACTTATCCATTTCTTCTAGATTTTCTAGTTTATTTGCGTAGAGGTGTTTGTAGTATTCTCTGATGGTAGTTTGTATTTCTGTGGGATCGGTGGTGATATCCCCTTTATCATTTTTTTTGCGTCTATTTGATTCTTCTCTCTTTTTTTCTTTATTAGTCTTGCTAGCGGTCTATCAATTTTGTTGATCCTTTCAAAAAACCAGCTCCTGGATTCATTAATTTTTTGAAGGGTTTTTTGTGTCTCTATTTCCTTCAGTTCTGCTCTGATTTTAGTTATTTCTTGCCTTCTGCTAGCTTTTGAATGTGTTTGCTCTTGCTTTTCTAGTTCTTTTAATTGTGATGTTAGGGTGTCAATTTTGGATCTTTCCTGCTTTCTCTTGTGGGCATTTAGTGCTATAAATTTTCCTCTACACACTACTTTGAATGCGTCCCAGAGATTCTGGTATGTTGTGTCTTTGTTCTCGTTGGTTTCAAAGAACATCTTTATTTCTGCCTTCATTTCGTTATGTATCCAGTAGTCATTCAGGAGCAGTTTGTTCAGTTTCCATGTAGTTGAGTGGTTTTGAGTGAGATTCTTAATCCTGAGTTCTAGTTTGATTGCACTGTGGTCTGAGAGATAGTTTGTTATAATCTCTGTTCTTTTACATTTGCTGAGGAGAGCTTTACTTCCAAGTATGTGGTCAATTTTGGAATAGGTGTGGTGTGGTGCTGAAAAAAATGTATATTCTGTTGATTTGGGGTGGAGAGTTCTGTAGATGTCTATTAGGTCCACTTGGTGCAGAGCTGAGTTCAATTCCTGGGTATCCTTGTTGACTTTCTGTCTCGTTGATCTGTCTAATGTTGACAGTGGGGTGTTATAGTCTTCCATTATTAATGTGTGGGAGTCTAAGTCTCTTTGTAGGTCACTAAGCACTTGCTTTATGAATCTGGGTGCTCCTGTATTGGGTGCATATATATTTAGGATAGTTAGCTCTTCTTGTTGAATTGATCCCTTTACCATTATGTAATGGCCTTCTTTGTCTCTTTTGATCTTTGTTGGTTGAAAGTCTGTTTTATCAGAGACTAGGATTGCAACCCCTGCCTTTTTTTGTTTTCCATTTGCATGGTAGATCTTCCTCCATCCTTTTATTTTGAGCCTATGTGTGTCTCTGCATGTGAGATGGGTTTCCTGAATACAGCACACTGATGGGTCTTGACTCTTTATCCAATTTGTCAGTCTGTGTCTTTTAATTTGAGCATTTAGTCCATTTACATTTAAAGTTAATATTGTTATGTGTGAATTTGCTCCTGTCATTGTGATGTTAGCTGGTTATTTTGCTCGTTAGTTGATGCAGTTTCTTCCTATATGGTCTTTACATTTTGGCATGATTTTGCAGCAGCTGGTACCAGTTGTTCCTTTCCATGTTTAGTGCTTCCTTCAGGAGCTCTTTTAGGGCAGGCCTGCTGGTGACAAAATCTCTCAGCATTTGCTTGTCTGTAAAGTATTTTATTTCTCCTTCGCTTATGAAGCTTAGTTTGGCTGGATATGAAATTCTGGGTTGAAAATTCTTTTCTTTAAGAATGTTGAATATTGGCCCCCACTCTCTTCTGGCTTGTAGGGTTTCTGCTGAGAGATCCGCTGTTAGTCTGATGGGCTTCCCTTTGAGGGTAACCCGACCTTTCTCTCTGGCTGCCCTTAACATTTTTTCCTTCATTTCAACTTTGGTGAATCTGACAATTATGTGTCTTGGAGTTGCTCTTCTCGAGGAGTATCTTTGTGGCGTTCTCTGTATTTCCTGAATCTGAACGTTGGCCTGCCTTGCTAGATTGGGGAAGTTCTCCTGGATAATATCCTGCAGAGTGTTTTCCAACTTGGTTCCATTCTCCCCATCACTTTCAGGTACACCAATCAGACGTAGATTTGGTCTTTTCACATAGTCCCATATAAGAAATATGTCCTTTCTGTTTGTTAGTTTTCCTTCTAACAGACAGGACCCTCAGCTGCAGGTCTGTTGGAATACTCTGCCGTGTGAGGTGTCAGTGTGCCCCTGCTGGGGGGTGCCTCCCAGTTAGGCTGCTCGGGGGTCGGGGGTCAGGGGTCAGGGACCCACTTGAGGAGGCAGTCTGCCCGTTCTCAGATCTCCAGCTGCGTGCTGGGAGAACCACTGCTCTCTTCAAAGCTGTCAGACAGGGACATTTAAGTCTGCAGAGGTTACTGCTATCTTTTTGTTTGTCTGTGCCCTGACCCCAGAGGTGGAGCCTAGAGAGGCAGGCAGGCCTCCTTGAGCCGTGGTGGGCTCCACCCAGTTCGAGCTTCCCGGCTGCTTTGTTTACCTAAGCAAGCCTGGGCAATGGCAGGCGCCCCTCCCCCAGCCTCGCTGCCGCCTTGCAGTTTAATCTCAGACTGCTGTGCTAGCAATCAGCGAGACTCCATGGGCGTAGGACCCTCCCAGCCAGGTGCAGGATATAATCTCGTGGTGCGACATTGTTTAAGCTGGTCGGAAAAGCGCAGTATTCGGGTGGGATTGACCTGATTTTCCAGGTGCGTCCGTCACCCCTTTCTTTGACTCGGAAAGGGAACTCCCTGACCCCTTGCGCTCCCAAGTGAGGCAATGCCTCACCCTGCTTCGGCTCGCACACGATGAGTGCACCCACTGACCTGCGCCCACTGTCTGGCACTCCCTAGTGAGATGAACCCGGTACCTCAGATGGAAATGCAGAAATCACCCGTCTTCTGCGTCGCTCACGCTGGGAGCTGTAGACCGGAGCTGTTCCTACTCGGCCATCTTGGCTCCCTGATATTTTAATTTTCTAGTAGTCACATTAAAAAAGTAAACAGAGGTTAAATGTATTTTAATTATATATTTTATTTAAACCTGTGTCTCTAAAGCATTACATCAACATATAATCAATATTTGAAAAGAATTAATGGGATGTACTACATGCTTTTTTGTCCAAACTGTCTTCAGAATTCAGTGTATATTTTTCAGTGTATTTGGTGTATTCAATGCTTATAGCACATCTCATTTCAGACTACCCATATTCCAACTTCTCATTAGTCACATGTGGTTAACAGCCATCATATTGAAAAGTAGAATTCTAGTTTCATTTTAATATTATCTTTATAATTAGCAAGTGAGTCTGAAAATCAGGAAGGTAGATGTATCTCTTGAATTTTATCTAGATAATCTTTGTAATATAATTGATGAGAAAAAAACAAATACAAATCAAGAGAGGGGAACTTCAATTAATGTCAAGATATACTATATATAACTGTTTAATCTATTCTCTTCCGTATTACTTATCTTTATTAGAATTAAGATGTATTGGTAGTTTTCGCTGAGTTCATCCTATTTATACATATAGATTTCCTTGCAGTTCAGTTTTCCTGTTAAACTGTGTTTATTTTATTAAATTAATTATCCTGTAAAATAATAGAGAATTATAATTACAATGTAATTGAATATTAGTGGTTTAAATAAAGCCCGTTATTAATTTTGCCAAGGAGATAAGTTTCTACACCACATAATTCTAAAATTATTGTAAAATTTAGAGGAACATGGGACCCTATATATTTCAAAGTCAGAATATTGGTATAGGGAGAGTAGATTATTCACTTATTTCATTTATAAAAATGAAAAGATTTGTTTTCTCAAGTTATCTCTGTGAAATATTTTTGTTAATATGTTCCAGAAAAGTTTGTTTGTTTATTTATTTACTAATTTTTTCTGAGTAGGTTCTGGTGGACAATTTCCAGTCTGGAGTCTGCATTTGGAGAGATTCTACAGCACATGCATGAATGGTAATAATCTTTTATTACAAAGTGGTTTCCAAAATGATCAGAGAAAGCAATACAATTCTAATTTCATTCCAAAAATGTCATTTGTTTTGGTACATTTGAATCATATAATCTATGCTTTATTTTATGCAGTGCCAGCAACAGCTTCTGCTAAACTACATAATCAATTTTTTCCGAGACATTCAGCTCTTCTAAACCAGTAAATTTTTATGAAAGGTGGGGTTTGGGGAGAAGTAGAATAGAAGGGTTTGAAAAATATTAAAGCATGTAATCGTCTAATTTATGTTGCCATTAATGACAGCCAAGGGTCAGAGTGCTAGGTTTATTACCTTTTAAGCACAAATTAATAGTTGATAAAAGTAGGAACGTGTTATGGAACATACAAGTGATTGTAACACCTACAAACATTGAAATACTAGGGCTAAAGCTGTTCTTGCTTGTGGGTTCCTAGGTTTATTAAATCATAGAAAATGAGTTTTATGAACAATCATCCAGATGGGAAAGTGTTCACATGTCACACAACATTTCACATATTTATGTGAAAAGCAATCTGTAACCACGTGCATATTAGAAATGAGAAAATGAATCTTCACATATGCAGGGGATGCCGTTAGGTACACAGCTGTATGAATTTGATGTTTTCCTGCCAGTGGATTTACCTGCTGCCACATAACTTTTGGGAAGTCAGGGTGTGTCAACCTACATAACAGAAAAAGTCTCTTTAAAAGAAAAAGGTAGTTATTTGGGACTAGAGCATTGACATGAGAATACATGTGCCGCAGTAAATTTATGTGCATATTCAGAAAGGTGAAAGAAGAAAAAGGTTTTTAAAGAAAAAAACAAGGATAATTACATAATTGTTTTGAGATAATTATCCATGGCTGCAAAGATAAATAACAAGAATGATTCCAGTTCCAGTATGAACAGGGAGTTGCTGGGCAGATGTCCTTGCAGAAGAATTTTGTGTGTAAGTTCGTGATGGTCTTTGTGCAAAGCTGTGGTTTTTGCAGAGGCCATTGTGATAGGTTTTGTTATCAGGCATACAGGCATGAGAACTTTCTCTTCATGGCCTTCCCTGCCTTTATTTGGCAGGGAATTTTTTTTTTTTTTTTTAACAGTAGTGACTCCATTTTGATTCTGACAACTTTCACAGTAGTGATTAATCTTTACAAGAAATTAAATTCCTAGGCATAAAGTGCTTTTCTTTGAAATCCACATTTAAGACTAACCTTCACATTTATAGTTTAACAAAAAAAGGAAATTAATTTTACATTACGCATGATTCTCATATCCAGAAATACAAAGATGTCACAGAATCACATATTTAGCTTCTCCTCTCCCTTTTCCCTTTATCTGACCATCTCTCTGTCCCCTTTTCCTCCCACCCCTTCTCATCTCCCTTTTTCTGTTCCTCCCCTTTCAGAATTTAATGAACACCCAATTGATTCACTTACGTGATTAATTGCCAGATGCAAAAATGTATAAGAGATAGCAAACAAATTTACTTTCTTCTTTTATTTTACAGTGAGAGAAAATTCTGATAGAATATATATATGCATGTTTTATATACTTATTTACACATTTGTATAATTTTAACTGCTTAACTCTTGAATTTCTTAAGATCAGAGTTTCTTCTTTGACTTAGTGCCCATGGGACTTGGAATTCTTCCTGGACTATAATAAACTTTTAAAAACTACTCAAATAAAATTGAACCCACTAAGTCCAATTGAATTCCACTACAGATCTTTAGAAAATCAATTACCATTAAAGTATAAAATGTATTATTTGCTCATGGACTGCCTTTCATAGTTTCCCCATAGAAATTATATTCCATTAATGCAAAATTGTACACATGACATTATATCACAATATGTTATAATAATTTCTGAGTAAATCTTGAAACGAATTGTCTAGCATTACTTTTAATATCTTTTACATTTTGAATTCTCAGGATCATTCTGAGCTACTTTACAATATGGCTAAATTTATTTATAATCACGCAGATAATCCACCATCCTTTCTTAGCCTTTTTATAAAAATTAAAGCACTAAGTATTTCCCTGCTTGGTGGCCCCGTTCAACTAATTCCTGAACAAAACAAAATCCCATCAGGATATTCTTTTTAGCCCATAAACTGAACATTATAAAGTTTGAAGTTTGGTAGCTGTAACAAGATGGTATGTTTGAAACTTGAATTTGAATTTGTGTAATAAGTTGCCAATTATGAAATGAAGAAAAGTTATTTTGGCAAAAATTGCAGAATACAAATCATTGCAATGACTAAAAATGGTTTAGCTTACCTTCTTTGTAACCCTGCTAGCTTACTGACAATGTAAATCTTTACATGTAATTGATATTCACTCATCTACTGTCTCCATACAGAATAATATGATAGATATTTAATATGTCATTTTACATATTTCCAACATGCATTGATTCATTTATTAAAAATAGAAGAAGAAAGACTAGCACAGGATGAATTAGAAATATTACTGACTTAGGAGTTATTGTTCAGTTCTTTATATTCTTCTATATCTGAATTCTGTTACTGAGCCCTAACTGCCTTTTATCTTGTTTCTTCTCCACAAGTAACTAGAGGCTAACGACTTACTTGTTGCCTTTTCCAAATTCTGATGTTTTCTGTTTCTCACTTGCGTTTTCCATATTCTTATGTCTCTGTTTCTCCCTAAAATTGATTATACTCTCTCACCATGTCTGATAACGTTTTATGCCTTACTTAACTAGACCTACTGATATCACACTATAGGAATAGCTTTCATTCATTTTGGGAGGCTGAGGCAGGCGGATCACCTGAGGTCATGAGTTTGAGACCAACCTGACCAACATGGAGAAACACCATTTCTACTAAAAATACAAAATTAGCCGGGCGTGGTGGCGTATGCCTGTAATCCCAGCTACTTGGGAGGCTGAGGCAGGAGAATCACTTGAACCTGGGAGGCAGAGGTTGTGGTGAGCTGAGATGGCACCATTGCACTCCAGCCTGGGCAACAAGGGCGAAACTCCATCTCAAAAATGAGAAGAAATAAAAAAAAGAAGAAGAAAAAGAAATAGACTTCATTCTTTTGAGAACCAGATAACCCTAGTTTTGTGTTATAAATTTACCACTCACTGGAAAATGTTATTTAATTTGTCCGTGTCTCAGTTTCCAAAGATGTAAAATGATAGTATATTTTTAGAGGTGGTTGAAAATCAGGTTCTGATATAAAAGACAGGACAACATTTAGGCTAGAAAACTTGTTGCAATCCTTCTTTGAGAATTCATTTCATCTCTCTTCTTTAACCCTTCTGAGAGATCTGTTTTGTGGCAGGCTGGACCAGGACCTCCATAATCATATGGCCTATTTAGCTATAAATTGATGATTGTGATAATTGAAGATAATGTTTATACTTTTCCCAAATCTAGCCTCAAAATAAAAAAAAGGAGAGTATTTTTTACATTTTATAAGCTGTTAGCATGTTAAAGAAAATTACAGTGACAAATTAGCAATTTTAGCTCATTCAGTCTCACTGGAACACAGCACCATCTAAATAAGTAAGAATTATATTTGTATGTTACATTAACATATTTCACTATTTAATTTAAAAATGTATATTTCCATGAATTTGCTAGTAATATTTTGGCAAATAGAGCTTTACAAAGGAATATATGACTTATATATTAATAAACCACTTACATATAATTTGGTATTTTTAAATGCAACTTTTCTGATGTATTTTAAGCATACTTGTTGCAATTCTAGTTTAAAAGTCTTATTTGTTTTATTATTTTTCATACGAGAGAGCACAGCTGGATTTTACATTTTGTTCAAATAATATTTATTTTAAATGAAACTAGTCTAAATGATTTTTTTCTGTAGTATCCCCAAAACATTGCTTATTTAAACATTTCAAAATGCAAAAATAAAATTAACATCTATTAAGTTACTTAACCATCTCAATATGAAAGTGAGCCATACTGGGAATTATTATCATATCCAAAAATCTTTCATTGCTATTCTTGATCAAACACAACCTACAAACGTTCCTGAGCCCAAGGTTACAAATAATGTGGTTATAAATAATGCTGCTACCCTGTTGGAAGAATAGTCCCGTGTATTTTCACACAGCCTTTGCTTTCCTTAGAATAATGAGAATAGAAAATATAAAATACTTTTATTAAATTTTATAATTTGCTGATGCTATTTGATTCTTACACAGTCACACATAATTAGAGAAACAAATTTATCATGCTCATTAATACAAAAAGAAACTAATACACTTACCCATAGGGACTGCACCCCTACGAGATGCATCCGTCCCAAAGCTTATTTTGTGCTACCAGAAAAATATCTGAATACCTTAAATAGCTATGATTCGACGTGGCTATGTAGTTCATTTTGTCATTTACACCTTTGGCATATATTGTTTCTCTAGTGCTACTTTAATATCATTAACGGAGAGAAAAAGAGATACCTACTAAGTGTCATAACATTGACATAAATATTTACCTTATATATCCCTGCATATACTCTGTAGTGTTCAGAGGTTTATTGCATTCATTTTTGAATTGCACACTGTCATTACCAGACACATTTTCTCTAGATACAACTCGAACTGCTTTGTTTTTGTCTTTTGGGATATTAAATCATGACTGACACCTATTCTACATTATTTTTCTCCCTTTTCTGTAGTAAAAGACTAAATCCTTAGTCACAGAGTAGTGTTACATATGACTCAGGCCAAATCAATTCTGTTTGCCATTCTTGTTCACAGAGATTGTTCAAGGAATAAATATGTAGTTCTTAAGCCAGAGCAATAAGAAACTGTTTTCATATATTTTGCTTCTATGTTTGTTCTGTTTTCTATGAAGAGCAGATAAGGAAAACCTCTTTTTTCTCTCTAGGACACTCTTAGAAACAGAAGCACATATGTGTTTGCAACCATAGCTTCAGTTATGTAAAGAAAACTGCCCTGAGAAAATGAAGTAAAAACACAAGGAAATCAGAGAGGAGATATGGAAAGAGATGAGACCAGAAGAGATTGTGATCAATTTTGTAATTCTAATCATCTATTTATGTTATACACATTTCTAACTGGCTTACAGATCTTTTATGAAGTCATTGAATTCCACGTGTTTTTACCTAAGCTAATCTGCTGAGTAAGTGCTAGCTACTGCAATGCTTAACTAACAGTATTATGATGTATACTAGGGTTACATATTTAGATCATTTTCAGATGCCCCCCCTCCCAAATTAATACCAGCCCCCCTGAAAGTTCTGAACCAAATGAAGGAAAAAACAAAAGCAGATAGAGAAATAACTATTGTTGCTGTGGTTAATATTAGAAAATATTAGCTTGGGTGTTTGGCAACAGGGCTTTGATACCGCACTCTATAATTGGATAGACTTATCCTCTTGATCAGGGCTGTACTAGACCTTTACCTCTTTCTGCAGTAGAGCCTGTCTGTGTAAAAGCTACAATGTAGACTAAGAAAGAAAAACATGTGTCCCAGAGAGTAGCCTAACTGCAGATAGACATAAAGTTTAGGTTTAAACCTAGATCTAGCTGCATAGATTTAGCAAGAGACTTGCCAATTTCTCTTCCAAATACTCCATTAAGGCAGTTAATTTCTTCTGCCAGAGAAAGAGGGTGAAGGTGAAAAGAAGACCTAAGTGTTACCTTGTTGGATGCTGCTCTGCATGGAAGAAAACATTAGGACTGGTAAAGAGGCTCTCCTCCTAACACACGTAAATACAGCTACATGAAATTTTTAATTAAAAAATATATTTGGTGTTACTATATACAGCATTTTAGAAAAAGAAAATCTAAAATGGAAGGCAATATGTTTAAAAGAAAGCTTGCTGTCATGTCAAACATGACATTTTCTTTTTTATAAAATACTGCTTTGTAGCCTCTGTGTTCAGTATAACTGGCTTCATAAGAATGTTTTTGCATCCTAATTTTAAAATAATTGAAACATGAATTTCGGATAGAAAGGAACAAATTTCAATAGAAAAACCAATATATGCCTTTTATAATCTAATTGGTAGGTTGTGAACAAATACTACCTCAGGAATATTGGGACTCTAGCCTTTCAATTTCTGGTAATCTTCAGTCATACAGCCTCTTCTCCACTACAAAGAAGTCATATTTCCATTTTATATTCCATAATTTTTCTCTTTGCTCACATATACTTAGAATTACAGAATTAATCTAAATGAGGATAAGAAAGATTTTATTGCTGTGAATTCAGTTTTATAAGACACTGCTAATATAAGACAGTGTCTTAGATTCCCAGGACTCAAAAGAATGGTCACTGTTGCATTTTCAACGGCAAATAGGAGGAATGTATTCACTTTGTCCTTTTGTATTTGCCCCATTAGTTTTTCTAATGAATAATTAGTAATCCATTGTATTAATTATTCAACATGAATACATTCAATACAATGTGAAGTTTTGTGAGAGTTGGCAAGTGCAAAACTGAGTCAGCAAGGTAAAATAATTCCCATAAATTTATCCTATGTCTAACAACCTTTAGGTAACATTTATTAGACATATAATCTCATAGATTCTGAAGAATATGTCTACATTACAATTTAAGAAACAATACATTGAAAATTATATTCTTTCACTTTTGATGATCACTCAGCAGCAAAACAATGGAAAACACACATAGATATGACCAAAGTGTCAAGGTAGTAAGAAGTTAAAGCTATGTACAAATCACCTGCGGATTATTTGTGAAATATGGGATCAAATAAATAGATATTTTAACTATGATGTGGGTGCTAAAATTTTAAGCAAATAATTCCTAAGTGGGTAACTAACATAGACAAGGTACCTAAGCTGATGAGACAGTTTAAAGAAAACATTTCCTTATCTTCATATTGGCCCTGAATGTTGCAGTATTTAAAATTACGTTCCCAAGACAGAACTTCTATCTGAATTATAAGTAAAAGTCACCAATGAAAAGTCTTCAGATGAATTTTCCATGTGATTGTCTCCATCCTTACTTGCTACATATGTCGGATATATTGTTGATAATTGTATATTTCAGTCAACTCTATTTACTGGACATATGATGAGAAAACATATACAGCAAATTCATTGTAAATCTTAACTCTTTGACTGAATAAAGATTTCTTTTAAGGAACAATTGAACCATCAAATTAAACAGCTTACCAAAACTAAAAACAAATATTTAAATGTGATTTTAATGCAACAGCTTGATATAGCCTACTTTTAAATTACCATTACTCTTTGAAATATCAACCAGTGTAGTCCAATGATATTTATAGAAATAAGATATAAGAGTAGCTTAAAAGATTTAGAGAATCACAGTTCAGAAATTAGGCATGGTTAAGACATAGTCTATGACCACTAAGTAGCTCAGATAGCGATATTTACTGAAACTTTCCAAGATTTTTCTTACAATGAAGTATTTTCTAAAATCTTCATACTTCTTTCTAAAAAATGAAATAAACAAACATGAGCCATTTTTTGTTATATGAACTCTTAAAGAGTAATTCCATCTACTATTTACTGTCTCATTCAAAAGCTATTCTCTTATGAAGTGCTTGAAATCTTTTGTCATTTAAAAACACTAAGCTAATATATTTGCCTTCTGTTATGACAAGGATGGCTAGGAGCAACAACAATCATTTCATATAAGAAACAACAACAATCACAATAAACACACACACATATACATATATAGGCACATATCCATATAATTTCTCCATCACAAAGGGTTTTATATATTTTTTTAACTTTCCTTAAGAAGTAGTCATTTTAGATTTCAGCTAGTGCCTTTACTGAATGTCAGATTAGGTATTACCCTGATTTGCTCTTCATTATATTATAAATTTATTACTAAAACAAGTTCAAGAAATGATATTTCTCATCAAGCTTTAAAATATTAGTTTCCATTTTGCCTCAGAATAAGGTGTTTTATTCATTGGCAAAATTCCCAGTCCAATAATATAAAGGGAATAAATTATGTACATTTGGATGGCACTTTAGTGGATTCTTAATTAAGGAATGGTAACCATCATCTAAGGGGACACATTTTATTTAGCAAGTAAAAGAACAGATCCATTAACCCCCATACATTCCAAGATTTAGCACTAGGGATGAATATTAAATTACTATTAAGTTTTTTTCACTGTGTAAAAAATGTAACCTTAGGATAGTGATTAAAAATAAGGAATAAATGAATTCTCATAGCTGTATAGGTTTAACAAACATTTTGAATATTTAAATATAAAACATGGTGTGAACACAATGATTATTTAGCATATTTTTTACTAAGGAAATAGCTAACTTTGAAGCAGTTTAAAGCAGCTTTTTCATATTGCAATTTTTGGCAGAGATAGCTTTTGAACAGGCAAAAATTTCTTTAAGGACACCTACATCTTTGTAATCATAGGCCAGCTATTTGATTGGATATGCTCTGTTGATGAGGAAACCCCTTAAAATCAGCAGTGTATATTAAAAATTTACTCAACAAAAATTTTATAGTATAGCTGTAGGTATGTTTCTGAACAGAGAGAAAACAGAGAAGCAAGAAGGTACAGTCTTGAATGGGAAAGGAAGGAATAAATTAATAAAACATTTTATATATGTTATGTATCAATGTGACATTAAACTAGGGTAGAAACTGATATTTTGCTAAAATAGTATCAAGTTAAAATATCTATGTGTTGAAACACATGTGTATAAAAGCTAACAGATAATAGCAAGCATTTTTGAAAATTTTAGAAGAAATTGCTCCTTACAAGTAATATTTTCAAATTAAAAGCAATTGAGTGTTCAAGCCAACATGTTAAATATTTATTGATTTGTGTAATTCTGCTACAAGTTCTTTGCTAGTACTTGCAACGGAGTTCATTAGCTTCTCAACCTGTTTTCAAAGGTGTGCTGCCTATTCATTTAAGAAACTGATGGTTTTACGACTAGTAGCATGGTGTATTTAACAAACACTGGCCTAGGACTCATAAACAGAGATGACTACAGGTTGATGATCTAATAAATATTCTAGTCATCACTGCCTGGGCTAAAGGTAAGAAACTGTCAGTAAAAATCTATTGTATGTGACTTTCTTTCCTTATCAACAAAAGATAATATTGACTTTAGACACAAAAATTACTAAAAAAAAAAAAGCCAGAGATACTGATATAGTAATTCCTTGATATTCGTAACGAATTGATTCCAGGATATTCATGGATATCAAAATCCACAAATACTCAAGTCACCTATATAAAATGGCATAGTATTTGCATATTATCTTGTACATCCTCCCATATACTTCGAATCATCTCTAGATGACTTACAATGCCTAATATGATGCCTACACATTGCTTCATTTATATGAATTCGATGTAGTCCTCTGCGTGGGCAAATTCAAGATTTGCTTTTGAGAATTTGAAGAATTTTTTTCCCAAATACTTTTGATTTCATGGGTGATTAAATCCATGAATGCAAAACCCAAGAATTCTCAGGCCAATTGTATCCTTCAGTCAATTTCAATAAATTATATTTATCTCATGGCATATATATTTGACGGTTGTAATAGTTGGAAAGAAGGGGATTGGTTCAAATTAAGCACCTTTGTTTTTATATTTGCTATATAATAATTTCTTTATCTCTCAGAAATAATTTTGACTCTTAAACAGTATTTGAATGTCATATGTTCAATTATATGACATTCCCAATTATTTTGAAAAATATTACTCACTTAATCTTAAAGTTAAATTTTAAAAATAACTGGAGTATCAATATAAATATTTTATAAAATACTAAAAAGGTAATGCATATTTCCACTTTATGTAAATGTATACATTTACATTGTGTAACACTTTTTTATGTTAATAGCCGATTAGTATATTATACTACAGTGATACAGTTATACACACACAAATATGCCTAAATTTGAAAATTGATAGAAATG
Organism: Homo sapiens; assembly: GCF_000001405.40. NCBI lineage: Eukaryota > Metazoa > Chordata > Mammalia > Primates > Hominidae > Homo > Homo sapiens. The sequence continues at coordinate 175,445 of NW_003571036.1, forward strand.
GCAGAAATGAATGTATGTATAATTAATTTATTTCCAACCACAGCATGTATCTTTAAATTTTAGACTAATAAAATGAAATTGTTGAACCAGATATGTATGTTGATTATCAGAATCTTGATATATCTTGCCAAATTATTTTCAGGTGAAAAACTCACTTTTAGAAAAAAAGTAAAATAGTCTCAAGTTATAGCCCTGTCAGCATTCTTTTAGATATTTACTATAATGTACTGATCTCTAATTTTATTATGACTTTAAATTATTTTTATCAATTTAATTGGCACAGAAATCTCATTACAATGCAATTATTCATATTTCTAGGCTTCTTTTAAAAACAAAAATAAATTTAAAATATATAACTAACAATTAGACACCTGGTTTCAATCAACTTTGATATTGTGGGCAAGAATCTTATTTTCACTTTTTAAATCACAATGATGAGCTATAATGATTATAGACAATATTTGAACAGGTAACCCAGGATATTTTAGTAATATTTATAATGGGCATTATTATTATTATTTTATGATTTTTGTTTGCAATTCTTTAAAGGAAATTCAATGTTAGTAAAATATGGTCTCTGTATTATTGGAATATTCTCACTTCACTGACAATCTTGAATAAGAGTTTAACCTATGATAGACTTGTAAAAAAATAGTCCTTTTTATTTAATTTCTTAAAGTCTTCATTCCATCTTATTTCCCTTCTTGTATTGCTGAGAGGAAGGACCTCGATCTCAATGCCATTCTTTTGTAGCTATCCTTTGAGATTTTCTCTTTATAGCTGATATTTTCAGTTTTATTAGGTTTTGTTTGGGGTGGATTTATTTTATTTATCCTATTCAACAGTTTGTGTCAACTTTTAAGATAAAGATGCATGTCTTTTTTTTTAAATTAGAACAAATTTTCATTATTTTTAGCTCAATTTTTTCCACCATTTTTAAATTATATTTGAAATAATAATTAAGAACATAGCGATGGCTCTTAATACTGTACACATGTTTTTTAACAGCTTTTTTATGTTTTTCGTCTTCCTGACTCTGTGAAGTTCTCATGGAGTTATTAGTTCTAAATTCTAATTGATTAAAATGTCCTAAGAATCTGTACAGTCTATAGTGTGTAACACCTAGTTTGTTTTTACTTCAATCATTACGTATTTTATCTTAAGCATGTTAAATAGCTTTTTATAATTTACTTCATCTTTCATTTTTCTCTTATATACTTTGATAACTTAATGAAAGTTATGTGGATGCTATCATATTTTTATGTCTGAAGTAATTAAACACACTTAGTGTATTTATTTATCTACAGGAAATGAATCCCCTTTCTGAGTTTCTTGGGCTACAAGTTATTATTATATTTTAGAGTAATACTAGTTGTTTTAGTAAATATTCCTTCATTTATAACATTTCAGAAACACCTTTTTGTTCATATAACAGTACAAAATGGCTGCTTTGTCGGTAGATGACCTGACTTCTTTCCGTCCTAAGTACTAGCTCCTAATATAAAAGCCTCATCATTTTCTATATCCAGAAGACAGAAGGGGAAAGAGACGTGTGGAAAAAGTAGATTCACAACTTAGAATCTTTAATTTGTAAAGAGTTATCTTCACATTGCAATTGGGAAAATAAGTCATATGAGGTCACAAATAGATGTACAGGAACCTGGGAAGGGGGACCCTGGTTCAGTCGCTGCTTTCAACACACAGTCATGGGGACTCAATCTTGGAAAGGAAAGTAAGCACTTACAGGAGGGCTAGCCGTTTCTGGCAATACACAGGTTTTTTTCTTCATGTACTTTGGTTTCCAGTTTGTCAGCACACCCTTGTTCTCTCTCTCTCTCCTTTCCTCCGACCATCCCCCACCTCCATTTATTCCCCTCTTCAGTTGGTTTTGTGGTTGTTTTACTTAGATACTCAAGATCTCTGATCAAAAATACTTTCTATATTCACAACTCAGATATTCACAGCTCAGTCGTCCTTCATGATGTTGACTTTGGGGGCAGTGTACCGATCTAGCTGGTGGTTTGAGTATGATACAGGCTATGAAACTGTGTGTGCTTCTAAATCCCCAACAGTAAAATTTTAGCATAAACTATGGCCCAGATAGAGTGTACAGGTAGGATTGCCTTGTCCCACCTCAATTTTTAAAAGTGAGACTGGTTTTAGTTCCCAACTTAGGCTAGTGATACTGCCCACTGTTACTCTACAGACTTCTCATTCCTCAACTAGAATCCAGGTTGCTAGCAATATCAACCTCTTTTTACTTTGAATATTTGTTTGATTTCTGGTTAATAGAAACATCATTTTTTGTTTTTGCTTTTGTTTTAAGAGGAGGAGGTGGTGTCCCAAGGGCATTTATATCTTTGCTCTGTATTTGGAGGAGAATGGAGAGTTCCAAATGATCAGAGCTTGCACATTACTAGATCCCCTTTCTGTAAGTATTTTTTTATATATTTTGTGAGTTATATTTGTTCATATACCTCACCACTCACCAATTGTAAATATTCTTCTATCTTGCCTTGTGTCATCTTCTAGTTTCTCTATATGTTAAGGTATTAAAATGTATTCATACTTAGTGTGACCAGTTGATTAGGCACCTCCACTTACTTCTGATGTTTATGTGGAAGAGTAAGCCAATAAAAGCACACCGTTACCAATCTGCATCTTTCTAGGATTCATTTTATGCAAACTCTCTATACTCTTATCTTTTCATTTTATTTTGCTATGTATGTATACAGCCAATATTCCCCACACTGTATACAACCTGAAAGTTCTTACAGGGATGGAAATAAGGGAGCTATCAAACCTTTAGAACAGCCACAGGAAGAATGACCCAGAAAAAAAAAAATTACATGATTATTACAGTTGTAACCTCCAGATATTTGGGAGTGAAGCAGAACTTGTCTTTTAAAAACAAAGTTAAAGCAATCTGTAGCTATTCCTGAGAGTCTAGGAGACTTTGCACCATAGTTAGTAAATTCATCCATGGCTTCTTTGCTTCTCAGGGCCAGAGAAGTCACAGAGCTTACTCTTGCCTTAGGGATAAATTTGTGCTCATTTGCCTCGATCCTAAAACACAGTGAGTGATAATGATAGATATTGCTCCCATGTCTCCCTCTAAAATGTCTTTAAGGTACACTTCAAGAAAAAAAATACCTTTTCTGATTCTGATGTAAACTTTAATGTCATCCAATGATTCTAAGTCAGTCATGAAATTTAAGCAGTTTCAATTTTCTGAAGTTCAAAGTTAAAATTGTAAGATAATAAAAGTAGTACTTAAGAAAATAAGGCCATCTAAATGGCTCTGGTCTAACAAAATCATCTTTTATTTTACATATTTTTTTCACATATTTGCATTACTACACTTTTTTACTAAATAATATTAAAAGAGTACCGTGAAAAGGCTACTACTCATCACAAACATTGTAATATAGGTTAAGTCCATATTCTAAGATCCTATTTTCTATCAACATGTTTTATGCCATGAAGGCCTTCAGGTTTATAGTTCCATTTGGGTTTGCATGTAGCTATCTTTTCAGTTAAAATGACTCAGATTCTCATTGAATACTTCACTTTGTATAAACTTAAAGTCAAATATTTACTGCTGAGACAGGTATACATCTAAGAAGGCTTTCGTTTTCTAACTTACAAAATTCTCTAAATTTCCAGAGGGAAAATGCTGCGATCAATTGAAGTTGTCATCCTCATGAAGCTCATACTGTTTTGCCTGAAAAATAAATGTAAATGCACATTCTTGGTCTTAAAATACATAGAAACAATACTTTTTTCCCTGCTACTAGCTTTGTAAGATAAATAGGGTTCATGTTTAACATATATACTCAATACTTGGGCAATTTGTCTTCATCTAATGAATTATTATTTACCATTTTTAAATTATCTGCTCAGATTACAAGATTCTTTTTAACAATAACCAAATTTTAATTAGTAAAACTTTTGGTCACTTTATATTTTCTGATGTGCATATTACAATAAAATATTATTTTGCTGATTGAATGAATATTGCTTATTTATTTAATAGATATATATACAAATATTTATATATTCACATTTTATTTTATGTATATACTAGGAGAATATTATATTTATTGATATAATTTAAAAAACAGTTATTGATAGGATTACTGAAAATTAGTTTTGACTTCGTAGTGTCTAATTCCTGATTTATTTTAAAATTTTGTTTGTTTCCCTTAGTTGTATCTAAAAGAAGGTTTAATTCTGCCTTATCTCCCATTAAATTAACTGGAACTTTATTGGGGTATTGATCTAAATTTGGTGTAGAAGAGCAAACATTTATTGCCAATGGTTACATATTATATAAAGATGATGCACAGAGGTTTTTAAGATAATTTTTTTATTATTAAATGATACACAATAATGAGAGAAAACTGTCAACTACAAATAGGTCTAAAAATAAGAGAACCTATAATTCAATTACAGACAATAAGCATGTTTATGCTTCCCTCTAGGTTATTTTATATTTACATATGAATATATATATATATAAAAAATGCAATTATAAACTTTCTGTATACTTGTATAACCTGTATTTTCACTTATTTTGATAACTTGCATATTATTCCAATATATTGAGCCTCAAAAATTTATTTGAGTAATCTCTTATTGTTTCTAAATTGCAGTTTTGGGATATAACTTTGGAAATTACTGGTTTCCAAATTATTGAGTCCTTAGATAGAATAAACTTCAAGATGTTGATGAACTCAAAATAGATATTTTATGTACTTTCAAAATATATTGTCAAGTTATAATATCAGAAATTTTGTATAAATTTATACTTTAAAAATATAAATCAGAACCAACTACTGTTCTTTTATTAACACAGTTTTTAAAAATATAAAATATGTCACATAATATTTGCATTTGCATGTTTTTCATCAGTCATAAGAATGGTGACAGAAAAACAAGATGAAAATTTTCTCACATATCATCCATTTTAGAGAAGCAGGCAGAAGGGATTTAGGTATCATAAGGAGAGACACCAAATAACCCTGTAAGACCAAAAAATCTTTCCAAACTGTAATGAATGTCTTGATGTTCTGTTACCTCACTTCCTCTTCTACACTCTGGCCTGGAAGATTCATTCTCCTAGTTGCTGAAAGTGTGGGCAGACAATAGCTCCCAACTGAGTCACTCCTAGCACTTGCCATGGGCTGAGGAGAGCTGCTTGCTCAATATCATTACCTTCTTCTTGGAGTAACCCATGTCAAGTGACCAGCTGAGCTGGCAATATAAATGCCTAGAACCCTCATTCCAATTCAGTACAATTTTGAAGAGTCATTGCAGCTCCAGTGCCCCTGTTAAGATTGACTGAGATCTTTGGTATAGTTCAATTTCTCCTGCTACCCAGCCTTACGTTTTTTTCCCTTAGTGTTGTTGATTCTGAGTGTACTGATGGATAAAATTCCTGCAAGTAAATCTCCATCTATAGTCTTCTGAGAGAAACCAACCTGAATACAATATACATTGTAATCCTGACATACCAATGAAAGAAAACAAAGCAATATTTTTTTCATCTAGGTATTTGTTGAGAAAGAGACTGATTAATCCTGAAACAACCTTATTCTTCAATAATAAAAGTACTACTAGAAAAGGAAACGTTAAACAGGAAATAATATAGAAAAAGAAAATTGAGTTGGTCAGCAGCTCCGGGGTAGAGAAACATAGAACTTGTGTGTACATTGAAATTTTCCACTTTTGCAATAGGTTAGCAATTCCAAGGGTGACACTTGAAAATTTAACAATATGTTTCTCCATTTTTCTAGAATGGAGTATCTGCTGAGGAGACTGGAATGAGGAAGGAATTCATTAAGTCTGATTGTCTCTGAACAGCAAAGTTCCTGAGGTCAGTCTGAAGTGAAATAAACTATTCAAAAGCTTAAAATACCCTGAATAAGAATAAAACATGCCAGTAATTAAAATGATTTGAGGATTTTATTCTAAATACATTTTAAAGATCAAAGACTAAATCTACCAACAGGCAAAGCATGAAGACTAGAGTTCTGTGAATTTAGCCTTTAGACTTAATCTCTGAGGAAAAGAAAACCAATCTCAGACAAAGACATACGAAGCCAGGGAGAATTGTTAGATATATTATCTCTAATTCCAGTGGGGCTATCCGTGTTAAAAATTAGTAAGAGGGAAAAAAGTACATGGTAAAAACTGCAGAAGGAATAAAGAAAAAAAAAGCATAAACAGTATTATTTGCTAACGTTGAAAGACACACAAACTCTTAAGATTAGAAACTCTAATATCAATACAAATAAATTTTACATGTAAAATACCAGAATAAAATAGATAATGCAGAACTAATCAAGCTGAGAAAAGAAGCACAATTACTGTAGAACCAATACATGAGTAAGAAAAAGTATGTAAGAGTAGAATTCACTTATGTTGATACCTAAATAAATCAACTGGAAGGGAGGATTGGATAATCATGAGAGAAGTCACAAGAAATTTAGACAACATCATTATCAGTAGATAACTTTATGTCTCACCTTCCTGTTTAAAACTTCAACCCTTCTATCCACCCTGTACACTCAGCAGAAAACTTTTCCCAATATTTCATTTAAAAAATGGCAACAATCAGAAGAGAGCACCTCTCCTTCCACTCTTAAGTGTACCAGTGCCCCTTTATGTGACCACCTATGTTCAGACATTACTCACAATACAATAAAGAAATGTCCCTGTTTTTGTCTAAGACCTTTCATTTATGATCTAGATGACATGCCCTTCCATTAGATCAATGATTTGAACACTGAAATTGTCCTCGCTCATCCTGCATCATTAGAAGTTCTCTCTTGTTTCTATCATGTATGGAGTTATAGAAGAAAACACATGTTAAAAAAATTTTCCTTAAACAAGCATCTCTCTCCAATAACTTCCTAATTCTCCCCAGTCCATTGGAAAAGTAGTAAGCTAAGAGAGTCGCATATTTTTCTGTTACTGACTACTTCTCCACTGACACACTTTTCAAGTCATTCCATATAGACTTTTATTCCCACTTAGTTAAAGAAAGAGAAATAACAAAGAACTTAGTGGGGTTGATGGATGTTATTATAACATACATTTATACAACTAATACTTAGAAGGTATTTATGTATTGGACTATGTCATGAGAATTTTTAGTAAGCTTGCTACTTGATAATACTCAATTGGAAAATAGAGAGAGCCAGATTCTTAGGAGTACAAATGAGAAATGAAAATCTGTAATGGATATCTCTACTTGTAATCTTTATAGATATAAAAAAAGGAGTCACACAGCATTCAGAATATTCGTAACCAGATGCTTATGAATAGAGTTTAATTTGTTGGTGCACCTTTCCCCTACCATTCTTTCTAAGTACAATTAAGCAGGTAGAATTGAGGGAGTTTCTATTTCCACTCAAACATTTGAAAAAGATGAAGTAAAGACCGTATGTTCAATAGGCTGAGAAACCTATGGAGATACTAGCTAAAATAAGAGTATAAGTTATTAGCAGTTACTGATTTTGATGTTGCATATATTTGTTTGATATTATAACACATAAAAAGGTAACTTTTAAAAAGAGTCTTCTGACATCTATATTTGAAGTCTGAACCTTTTATTCATTTAAAACAGAATAAAAAATCTATTAATTATGTTTTGGCACTGAAAAGTATTTATTTTCTAATTTTTGACCAATACTTGTCCTATATTAATAATTTTAAATAATCACAAGAATATATATTGAAAACACTTCTGAAAATCTCTTTAAAAGCCAGCAATAAATGGTTGACTTTGTACATATATGTGTATGTATGAAGCTTATAAATATTCGTATATATGATGTATATATATTTTTTAAGCAAAAACTATTCAATGATACTTGTTAAAGCAATGTGAGGAAGAATTTATTCAGGCTCATGGTGATATGTATAGAAACAACTGCAACAGGGACTTGCAATGGAGGAAAAAGATTGAATTTAACTCCAATACGAGATAAGCAAGTACGAATTCATAGCCAAGAAGCTGGGTGGGGAGTCAGTAGATGGCAAGTGATATAAAAGGAAACATCAATGGTAAGGGGGATTCTGGTTGAACCAATATAACAGGATTCTTGCTGAAGGCAGACCAGGGAGATAGGATATTCTGTGGGGGGATAATGGAGAATGTGAAATTCAATAAGATAGGGAGAATGATTAGATATCAAGATTTGGGGTTGTTAAAATTTCTGAGAGGCCATTGTTTTGGATTAGATTCCTGCACTAAGCCCCAGAAGACTGAAACAAACCAAACTGCTAAACGTCACTTCATCATGCTAAACGTCACGTAATCAAATGGAAATTTTAAAGAAACAGGTAAATCCCAAGATAGACTAGTTTTTTCCTGAAAACAGGAGACTTCAGTTCATCTGTTTTAGTTTAATAAGAAAGCCCCGTCTGCTTTAACCCTTGCAAGAACAGTAATCTGAAATAACTTGACTTTAACAAATCAGTTCAGATTTTTTCTCTTCTGTTTTCTTTTCCCAACTTACAAAACCTACTCTCCTGCCATTGCCCAGTGGGAACTCTGTCATGAGACTTTGTAGAATGAAAGGTGCCCTGATTCATTACTCACAAATAAAGCCAATGAGATCTTTAAACTAAGTTTGTTGTAATTTTGTCTTTTGACAGGGTTCTTGCTAAATCAATTTAGCAGAGTTTTTGGCTTTAAAACCAGATTTTACAGGTAAATACAAATGGGCCTAGGAGAAAGTTTAGAAGCTTAGAAGCTTTACTAAATTTTTGTCAGACAGTCTTTGTTTATATATATGTGTATATATATACATAAACATATATATTATTAATACATAATTTTATTATATGCGAAGATACTAAAATATATATTTAAATTGTTCAGATAGTTAATGTAGAATTATCTCTCCTGCAAACGAGTCCTGCCCCAATAACTTTCACAGACAAATTGTTTCCAATATAATAAGGAATAAATAATTCTGATTTAAATGATTATAAAATACAATTAAGAGGCAAATTTTTCTAATACTATTTTTTTGAGAAGCTAGGGAAATACTGACTGAAAAGAAAACTGACAAAGATAGTGTCAATAAAGGAAACTATAGACCAATTACGATTTTGAACATCTATATGATATTTAAATATAATATTCACAAATAGAACTCGGTAGCACAATAAGGAATAATAATGACTATAGTTCATCCTTGAAGTATGACATTATTCAATACTATATATGCCCTGGGTCTTCTTGACCACTTCCCAGATAGAGTCAATTTATCAAGACAGGGGAATTGCAATACAGAAAGAGTTTAGTACACTGAGAGTCAGCTAAACAGGAGACTGGAGTTTTATCTTTATTCAAATCAGCCTCCCCCAAAATTTTGGGACTAGAGTTTTTCAAAGATAGTTTGATGGGCAGGGAGCTAGGCAATGGGTGCTGCTGACTGACTGGGGATGCAATCATAGGGATGTGGAAAATAGTCCTCATGCTGAGTTCACTTAGTGGGGGCCAGAGGACCATTTGAGTCAAGAATCACCAGGGTGGGTGGGGCCAGATAGTGATCAGAATTGCAAAAAGCTGAAAAGACATTTCAAAGGCCAATCTTAGGTTCTGCAATAGTGATGTTATTTACAGGAGTAACTGGGTAAATTGCAAATCTTGTGACCTCTGGAAAAAAGGCTGGTAATCATTTAACTATGCCTACATCTTAGCAGAATTCAGACCTTACTCATCCTCTTAACCTGGTAACCTTTCAGTATTTTTACAAAGGCAGTTTAGTTTTGGTGAAGGACTATTATCATTTAAACTATAAACTAAATTTCTTCAAAAGTTAGCTTGGCCCACGCCCAGGGGTGACCAAGGGTAGTTTGGAGGCTAAAGGTGAGATCTCTTTAACTGTCATAATTTTCTCACTGTCATAATTTTTGCAAATATTTTTATTTGCAAAATAAAATAATTTTTTTAATAAAATTATTTTATTTTCCAGGATATAAGTATATCCCTTTCCAAACATTACCAAAAAAAAAATAATAATAATAACTTCTTTTAGAACCTATAAAGTTGTTTAACCTTCTTTCACTTTCTCAATGTGTCTGTCCTGGCCACTTTATCTAAATTTGCAACCCTCCTTTCTCTTCACTTCACACTCCCATACCCTGATATATTTTTGTCCTTAGCAGTAAACACATGCCACCATGATGTATATCTTAACAGTTTATTTTTTCTCATATTCTTGATTCTCTCACCTTAGTAGAATGTAAGGTCCATGAAGGCAAGGAGTTTTGCCCACTTTTTTGTTGTTGTTCCTCCCTGGCCCCCACCAGGATGTAACATTAGTGCCTGAGTGGTATTTAGTAGGTCTTCACTATACATTGGTTGAATAAATGAATACGTGAATTTTCCTAATATATATATTTTTAAAATTAACAACTATTCTTCATATAAAAACTTCAGCAAAATATAATTATATTGTAACTGAATATCCTATTTTTAAAAAATTGTTTTTTTCCATTTCCTTTCCTTTTTCATTTTTTCTCTTTCCCCTTGTGTGATTGCTTAGCTCTGTAGAAATGCAAATGTAACCTTTACCCTCCTTTCTTTCCAACACACCCTCCCCTGCAAACACTACTGGCTCTTCTAGTTATATGTTCGCTTAGAAGTTCCGAGGACCAAATCTTGAAACAAACTAGGCACCTTCCAGAATTCTCCCCAACCAGGAGATTGCCTCAAGACAGTGGTTAATTTATAACCCTTTTGTACCTGCAATGGTGCTGGACTGGTCGCCAAAAGGCCCATTACTCAAGATAAAATCTTTGGAGCAAGTCAAATAGATCCTGTACCTCCATACCTCTTTGGCCCCTGGATACCAAAATTTCTATTCACAAGCCCCCACTTTCTGCCCAGAAATCTGAAGTGGTTTCTTTAGATGTGAATTCTGGGGTGTCCCTACTGCTAAGCTCTGGAATAAATTTGTTTTATTTTTATCACACCTGGTCCTTGCCATTTTGCTTTGCAAGCAGTAAGCAGCCAAGCCTGCATTAGGTTACATTGTCACTTGACATGAAAAACACATAATGAACTACTAAAAAAAAAAGTGTCTGTGTGTGTATGTGCACATATACGAGAGAGAGAGAGACGATAGATGTTAAACAATAATACAATGTGAGAAGTGTTTTTCTCCTAATCTTACATTTGAAGGAAAAGCTGTTAGTAATTCTCTTTTTTTTTTTTTTTTTTTTTTTGAGATGGAGTCTCATTCTGTCACCGAGCTGGAGTGTAGTGATGTGATCTTGGCTCATTGCAACCTCCATCTCCCTGGTTCAAGCACTCCTCCCACCTCAGCCTCCTGAGTAGCTGGGATTACAAGTGTGCACCACCATACCCGGCCAATTTTTAGTGGAGATAGGGTTTCACCATGTTGGCCAGGCTGGTCTCGAACTCCTGACCTCAAGTGATCCTCCTGCCCCTGGCCTCCCAAAGTGCTGGAATCAGGCATAAGCCACCGTGCCCAGCCAGTAATTCTCTTTTCTTTATCATTTCTATATAGGGAAACGAGGTCGTTGTGAGAAAAGGGTAAAGTGTGGAAATTGATCAGATGATACTAAAAGGTAGATTTTATTATTGGCACTAGGTTTTTGCCCCATCAGGCATCCATGCTTCCTGGCAGGAAATTCTTTGGTCCCTCTCACTAATGGCCAATGAACATATTTGATCCTTAACTTTGGGCTTGACCAAAAACCTGTTTTGATCAGTGGCGTATGAATGAAAGTGACAGTGTGCTGATTTTCAGCTTAGGCCTATAGAGACCTCACATGATTCTGTTTGCCCTCCTGAAGCTCCTAACTCTATGAAAAGAATATTCCCCACTTAGGTTTATGAGCCTTCCTTTTCTAGGAAGAAAGTGAGATCTAACACAACATAAATCAGCTGGCTCCCAGGGGACTGGTGGAGTCATGAGTAAGTCTGCCCAAGTTAAACAGACTGCTCAGGGGAGCCCAGTGTAGATCAGCTGATATCAAGGCAACCTACAGAAGCAAGAGCAATAATATATTATTGTTATTTAAAGCCACTGACTTTCACGGTGGATTCTGTGCAGCAATAGAATGTAGGTAGATTATAAATATAGTGATTGGGCTGAACTCTCTGATAGCCCAGGAGATCTAAAGATAGAAGAAATCACCATTGGAGAATAGAATGCACATCTAATAAAGTATGGGAAAGGTTATTTAACAATAAACATTAGAAGACTGACTTTGCCTTGGTGTGTCAATCAAAGTTGTATGTAGCATATGTACAGCCTTCTGAGATGCATTTACCTCAAGCTTGGGGAAAAAAAAAAAGGGTGAAGTAAAATACCAAGCCCTTTATTTGTGCAGTCTCCTAGAAGAAGACAAACTATTCTTAAACTGTCTGAGAAATATGCAAGGAAATTTACTCACATGCTTACTCCAATATTTGTATAGGAACAATATCATACCTGGAACATTATTTTTTTTCCTCTATTTTTCTTTGAGTTGTTGAGAATTCATGAAATAGTCAGAAATACAAGAACCAACATGAAGGTATTTTTTTCCACCCAAGTAGTTCCACCACCAGCCTTGTTACAGCGTTTAAGTGACAAATGCTTTACAATTTTGACAAGGAGTAAAGAAGATAATATTACTTAACTGCCTGACCATCGGATCTCCAAATAGCTCTCTGTTGCTACAATTTTTATTTAATATAATTCAAATGGCATATGGGCTAGATTAAGGATGAGGAGAGAAACTAATATTTTGTTGACTATTATATGCTTATATTGATCTTTGCTAAGTCATGAGTTGAATCTATAAATAGATGTTCTGATGAGTCTAGAACTATGCATCTTCTGAATGCATTAAGTGGCTATGCTGAGGTGAAATCCTTCAATGATTCAAACATTACTACAAATAATTAGCATTTGGGCCGGGATGTTGTATTAAATGATGGTATGGAGAAGAGATATTTGAGACACATACATTTGGCAATGGTTTTTCTGGAGGTTTATAATGCCGCATATCACCTGGATGAAATCGATTTTTCTCCCAACCACGTCTTTTCTGTCTCCTGACAATTATTTAATTCAAGTCTGAAATTCAAGTCTCTACACATCACTCAGTCAACTCCCAACTACACTAAATTTTCTTATTCTCACAGAGCAAATTTTAAAATTAAGGAAATCAAGATGACAACATAAAATACTTCAAACTCATTAAGAATTCTTAGTTTTTAAAATTATACTTAAAGACTTTTACATATATGGTTGACTCTTGAATAACACAGGTTTGACCTGCACAAGTCCACATATATTTGGATTTTCTTCTACCTCTGCTATCCTTTAAATAGGAAGACTAACACCTGTTCTTCCTCTTCCTCCTCAGCCTACTCAATATGAAGATAATGAGAATGAAGATCTTGATGAATTAGTCACTTTCACTTAACGAATAGTAAATATAGTTTATCTTTCTTATGATTTTCTTAATAACATTTTATTTTCTCTAGCTTACTTTATTGTAAGAATACTGTATATAATACATATACAAAAGATGTATTAATCAACTGTGTAAGTTATCAATAAGGCTTCTGATCAGTAAGAATCTATTAGTAGTTAAGATTTGAGGGAGTCAAAAGTTATGTAGATTTTTGACTATGTGAGAGATCAGCACCCTAATCCCAAGATTGTTCAAGGGTCAACTCTATTCTGTTTTCATCCACATTTTTCAACTTTCACACAAATTTAAACACTAAAAATCCTGAATGTGACCCACATGGGACAAAAATAATACTAAATTTGACTGTCTCAAAGCTATCAACATATGTAGCGTAGTGAGCAAGGAAAGAAATATACATAGAAATATATATATTTTGTTGCTCTATAGTCCTGTTGCCATGCTTATAGTTTTATGGTATTTGATCACTTAAAGGCCTTCAATCAACTCATGAAGAAAATATTCCAACATTTAAAAGTTTTTTTTCTTTTTCAGAACAAATAAACTAAGTGCTTTTTAAAACTGTAACCTGTAAGTAGATGAAGGAGTATTATAACCAGCTGCTCTTCATTTCCACTGAGAGAAGACATGGAAATATGTTTAATTCACAGCAGGAGTGGTTTAGATTGGACAACAGGAAGACAAATTTGACAGGAATTCATACTAGACCCTAAAAGATATTACCAAGGGGAATTTGTAGATTTTTTTTTTCTATTCAGGTCTTTGCGAATAAATTAGATTCTATGGCTACTGCGAGGACCTTGAATTCTTGCAAGTAGGTCAAGGAGGTGGACAAAGGGATACTAAAGTACCAGTCTTTTATTACTCTATACTAGAATGGTAGACGTTGACCTGTCTTGCTCATTCTCTCTTTCTCAATATAATACTTGCTTCCCATCCCTCCCTTACCTAATATGAATCAATAATGAATAAGTTCAAAGTATACCGGCCATTTCTTCGTTCCACCTTGGTGCTTTGTTTTGAGCAATAAACTCTTATACCACAATGAAAGACATAGACGGAGATTAAGTGATGCCATTTTTTAATTGAATTAATGTATCTCATATGTCTTTCTTAATACTACAATGTGCCTGCCACATATTTTCTCTTCTGAATGTTTTATTTTATTAAAATTGTTTTTTAATTCCTTAATAGTGCCTTTTTTCTTTATTTGAACTGAGAAAATAATATGAATTAAAAGATCCTTTGCATTCAGAAAACAGTTTTTTTTTGAAAATATATTTGAGTGAGTTGCGATTAAGATGCTACTATGAAAAAGCGGAAAGAGTCAAAAAGGTACCCTTCCTTTACTGCTATGTCCATCAACTAGGATATGCTTTCCCAACTAGTATTGTATGCCTAATAGGAAAGGAAAGCTTTTTTTTGTGGCTAAATTAATGATGAGATTCGCTATGTTCTGCCCTAAAACATGACTATACAAGTCCAGAATGCATCACCCTAACATATTCTTCTTTGGCAGGTTGATGCTTTTGAGCTGGTTATTTTAAGGAACTGCAGACACAGGAATAGCTCTTAAAAGTTGGCCTTTTATGTTGATTAAATAATTTTCCATTTGTAAGAGTGTCTCCTTATCTGTACCAGGGAAAAAAGAATTAAATCACTAGAGACTTCTAATCAATGAAGAAGGTGTAGACTTAAATCTGTGCAACAAATCTTATCTTTGTTTTAAGGTGCTTTTCCTGGTCATCTCATCTGAATCTGGCTTGTCTCCTCACCCTCTCATAATTTGCTTTTAGTACCACCTAGAGGCCCCAAGCTCTTATTTCTCCATGTAATTTCCCATTTCAAGAGGAAACACAGTGTAAGCCTCAATCTTCTGGCCAATTCTTTGAGCCCTGTATTTTTGTGGGACTCCTATGTGTATGTACATAATTGATATAGTTTTTCTCTTGTTAATCTCTCTTATGTCAATTAAATTCATAGACAAGCCAAAGAACCTAAGAGGGTAGAAGGAAGCATTTTTCCTCCCCTGTATTACTTATTTGTATTCTTTTTGTGTTAGGTATTGAGGTTGATTTGGGGGAGGCAGGGGGAATGGCCTCAATAACTCCTTCTAACCCTATGTGTATGCTCTTGTGTAATATCTTTGTTATTCCTTCAATCAAGAAAGAGAATCTATTTTCTCATCTCTTGAATCTGGGCTGGACATATGATTTCCCTTGACCAACAGAATGATGCACATGTGACATTTTGAGAGTTCAGGAGATGGCTCCTCAAGAAGCCCAGCAATTTTTCTTTTCCTCTTGAAACATTGTCATGATCCCCCTAAATAAAGAAATGGAGTCACTGGAAGATAATAAACCACGTTCAAAAGAAGTCAAAAGCTACAGTCCACATGTAGCATCCAGCAGCTTCACATGTGAGCAAAGACATCTGGGATCATTCAATCTCTGTCAAGGCATCTCATGACTACAGCTCGAGAGCACCCCAGATGGAACCCTTCAGAAAAGCTACTCATTTGACCGCAGTTCACATTTCTCACCCACAGTATCATGAACAAATAAAATGGTGTTGTTTTAAGCCACTGTTTTGGTGTGGTCTGTGGAGCGGCAACAGTCAGTTCATAATGATAACATAAACACATTACATTGTCAATTTATGGTTTACAGACCAAAAATTTTTAACATGCAATATGCTTTTTACTCATGAAAATTATATTCTATACCAGATAATATAGTAAAAGAAGACATTAAAAGTATCATAAGATAATAAAAAGGAGAAAAAAGACAAATTCAAAGGAGAGAAAATAGAGATGAAAAAGAAAAATAGAACGATGCAATCAATTTGATTAGGGTCTCAAAGGGGCATGGATTATTTTATATATGGCAACTGGATGACTAGGTAGATGATGGTTTTATTAATAATGTTCACATAGGTTCTTATTTTAGTTTTTTTTCATGCTTTCCCCATGTCCTTATCATACTATTTTAATAGTCTTTTCTAAGCCACCTTCATTAGTCCTTGTTTCCTTGCCAAATCTATCAAAGGTATAAAATGATCTTCTTCAATAGGATACAATGGTGTCAGGAATGCAAATTAACCAAAAGTGGCAGAGTGGTGCTGCATGGAAGCCCAAGTCCTGAAGCAGTGAGCATGGTGAAATATCAAGTAGCAATAGTGGCACCAATGCTAGTTTAACCTGATTTTTTCTGCTGAAGGATCTTGGCTGTGCCTTATCTTCCTTAATTCTTGCCCAAGTTTGGTGCTTCTGCATACCCATTCATTTTTTTATAAACTCTTTAATACATTTGTCTTGCATAACCAAAAGTGATTTCTATTGCTTGCAACCAATATCTAACGGTGTAACAGTACTTGAACTACGTGAAAGGAGCAGATCTGCAAAAAAAATTGGGAAACCAGAGATTGTACAGCTTCACCTGTCAGCACTGAAATGGTGAGATGGGTATCTGGCTATGCATTCTCTAGAGGAAAAGCTAAGCACATTCCTGTCTCTCATCTTTTGGAAAGTAGTTTTCAGGGAAAGCATGCTTTTGGGTGAAAAAGTGACCACTTCTATGAAGGACATGAGAGATTTAGTATGTTGGTTTTGTTTTAATGACATCCGATACTTTTTATAACATGAAAATTTAAATGCAAATACATTTAAAGCTGTTGTGTATTTTAGTCCATTTTAATGATAACTTGCTGCTAAATAACTTACCACACTGATATTTCTATCCACCTGGCATGGCACTTGAAAATCACAACTAAGTCTTTGTCCACTTTATACTGGCTCTCATGGAGGTGGAGGATAGAATCATAGATACCAGAGACTGGGAAGGGTGGATGAGTGGGAGGGGGGAAATGCAGAGAAGATGATCAAGCATTATAAGCAAAGAATTAGACAGAAGAAATAAGTTCTAATGTTTGATAACAGACTAGGGTGACTATACTTAGCAACATTATTTTGTATATTTCAAAGTAACTGAAAGAGAGCACTTGAAATGATACCAACACATGAAAATAATCAATACATAAGGTGAGGGATACTCCAAATGCCCTGGCTTTATTATTACAAGCCATGCATGTAATAAACACTCACATACACCCCATAAATATATAAAATAGTATGTATCGATAGAAGAAAAAAATGATAATTTTGATTTTTGTCTGCAGACTCCCTAAGGAAATTTCCATGTAAATGTAAATTGACTAACCATCTAGGTGAGTTTATGGTGAGTTTTGTAAGATCTTCACAGCCTTGGTTTCCAATAATATTGAATGATAACAAAATATATGCTGTTTTTTTAATCAATAATGTGTATTTAGTGAAAATACAGAGAAGCGCAGTTTTTAAATATTTGTTATTTAACGGAAGATAAAAGAGCAATCGAGAGAAGTGACAATCAAGACAGTCTTAAGTGGAATAACTATTATTTATTGCTTAAACTGGAACAATTATGAAAATTAAGTAGGTCATTTTTAATTATTATACCTGGACAATGGACATAGATTGGCCCATTACAGCAAACTGGAATGTACAGTCTTCCTTCCTTAAACCATATTGAGGATGCAGTCTTCTGACTTTTCTTAATTCAACTCATAGTATTCCTCTCTTTGGTAACATTCAGCACACTTGAAAATAATTTTTTAAAATTTGGATTCCCCACAAGAATGCAAGCTTCAAAAGGAAAATAACCTTCTGTATCTTATTCAGCATCTAGCACAGTGCATGGTATGTTATTCTAAATATTTAATACATAAATTATTCAATGCTAAAATTCTGGCTAGCATTCAGTCTAGAAATAATACAAAAATCCATGTATATATTTTTTTCCTTAATGTTGTATATTCATGACATAGAAGGCATTGCCTATGATGGTATTTATGGACCTTTATGTTACTAAAACTCATTTTATGTTTCTGGAAAATAATACTAGAAAAATTGCATTAATTGAAGAACTGAGATACTGCCTCCTATAAACAATGAATGTGATGCAACTCTCACAATTCTGAGTACGGAGGCAAAACTACAGAAAGATCATAAATAAATTGAAACATTAATATTAGTAATTATTTGATGAGCTATTTTGGAAATATTTTAATTTCAAATTACATTTTTGGTTATCTTAGTTAATTTTATGCATTCTATGTGTGCACAATTGTGAAATATGTATAATTTCACTTAATTACAAATTTTAAATTGCCTGATATTACTGATTGAATATGGATGGATAAGATTACTAAAATTGCCAACTGGTATTTGTTTTTCACTCACTGTACTCCTTCAAAATATTTAATTCACATTTGTAATTAGCATCTCAAATATTGCATGTGATATAGTCTGTCTCTCAAAGCAGAATTATTACTGACAGCTGTTAGTAGTAGATGTCTGACTTTTTTCCACAAAATGATAGAATATAAATGTGTTCGTCCTTGCTTTTCATTTTCATATTTTCACTTCTAAGACTCATCAGTAAATTATTCCTTATAGGTTTTTTTTAAGAAAAAAAAAACAGTTTGGAACCATGAAATAGAATCTTTAAGAAAAATAAAATGCAAATACATCTTGAATTATTACTTGAAACTTTTATATGGAAATCCTTTATGTGAAATTCAAAGAGATGCTTAAGATGCCGTTGATGTCATTTTTTTCTGTCTTCCTATTTTAAAACACACAGGCTTATACACACTTTCATATTGTAAAGTCTTCCCATATTTTAAACATTTTTTATTATTTGGAAAGATAAATTCAAATAAATAGTTTTTATAGTAGTATGTGTTTTGTATTTGGAAATGAATAACTGTGGTAGAGCCATGTTACTGATAATAATTATTTCTCATATTAGAAATTAAAATAATACAAAACATAAAATTTACTTTTCATTGTGGTATCAGTTTCTGTGGTATGGCATGTTCATTCTCACTTTATTGTATTACTTTTGAAAGTAATTATTCATCTTAGTCAAGACACTATTTTCGAATTCTCAGTTGTTTTGCTTCATCAAATTTAGGAAACACAAATATAATTATCAATTTTGAGGTCTCAGTTTTATCAAATATAGAAAAGAAATACATTTTCTAATATAAATTCTGCTTTCAGCTACACAAATCTTTGACAGCATGATTGAATAGTTTTTTTTTATTCATCCCATACCTTGAAAAATAACCTTTAAAAAAAAAGTAAAGAAAAATAACCTGTATAATCTTCATCAGTTTTAAGATAACAAAATCTTCCTGCAAAACAGACACTGAGGAAATAATCACAGTGGCTCAGTCTGCCTTGTTCACTCCGTTTTATCAGCTCTCTGCTCTTTCTGTCCTTGCTGACCTCCAGAGTTGAGGCTGAAGAGCATCTTAAGGCTTTTTGTCAGCATTGATTTAAAAGTACGCAAAAGATCAGCACAAAAACTAAAGCTTGAATCACTTTTTCATATATATAGCATACTTATTAATTGAATTTGATAACAACTATGAATACAATTATAGGCAATTTACTTGATATTTGTGTCCTTGGAACATTTGAAATTACAGAACAAAAGTCAACATAGGAAGGAATGCTATCAAGAATTAAGAAATAGAGGTGGCTTTGAAGTGCACTTGATCATTTATAGAATGTACACATTTTAAATTTTAATAGACACTACCAGATGAGGCCTTTAAAAAATAATAAGCATATTACATAGGGGTCTTATGAATTTGTGTCTCAAAATGTGTTATGCTGTTTAGGAATTCATTTTTAAAAAATTCTAAGACTTGATAATTTTGCAATCACTCAACAAGTAAGAATGAGGGTGAAAGGAAATTAGATATACATGTTTAATTAAACATAAATATTTAATTTATCAATAAATCTTTTCAAAGGGATAAGGCAATTGCGAATCTTAAAGATACTCAATGTAGAATAAAATACAAGAATGGAACCAATAGACATCTGACAAACATGTATATATTTATGTATGTTATAAATATATGTGAATTCTTAATATATTTTCATTAATAACTACTGAAACTGATAAACTAAAAGTTGTAGTCTTCAACTTAAAGAGACAGTTTTGTTATTCAAATAAAAGACACACTTTTGACAACATTTTTAAAATTAAAATAACTCTTAAGATATGTTAATGATAATGCAGATAAAAGATAGGAAATAAATTATAATTCAGAAACATCTTATATGAAATTCTGAGAATAATGACAGTAACACAAACAAATCTACCAAGTCAACTCCTTTGCTGCCTTTATTTCAGTTAAAGTCTAATTTTTTTTTTTATTACTTAGGGCGGAATCTAAGTGTCCTCTCTTTCTGTCATTTTCTTACGCTCATTAGGAGGAAATACAGTCTGTTATGCCTCCAATATCCAACTTTTAATCTCTTTTAACCACCACCAATATTGCTACCCTAATTCACAAATAATTGCAAACAGGGCCAGCTTCAAGTGTCTGCAACCTATTTTCTGGTGTCCAGTCTTCCAGATCTTTGTGTTTAGAAGGGCTCTGTTCTTAATGTTTTGCTCTTGGCATCTTGATATCTGAATAATTATTTTAATAGAAGTTCAACATTTTCATTTCACATTGGGATCCCAAAATTATATAGCCAGGCCTGATTGCAAACATTTTCTATACGCTCTCTTTGCTTTTGCTGTTGTTCCCACTAGACTCAACAGAACAGCCAGTGAGATAGTAAAAACTTGTTAGACAATGCCATTCATTTACTTAAAATCCCCTAATGATGTCGAAGTCCATATTTTAATCTGTAACTTCTTAAATGATCTCCCTACTCTCTTAGCTCTTTTATTCTCTTACTATTCTCTCACTAGTTATCGTTGACTCAGACACTAACCTTCTTGCTGTTCCTAGGTAACCACATACTACCAAATAATTATGTCTAAATCTTTGCCTTTGTTCTTATCTAAGTCTAGGATATGCATTCTCAATTTGGTCTATATCATTCCCAAGAAAGCAAAAGTTGATTCTTAGAGGCCAAAAAAAAAAAAAAGAGATCTTAGCTATTGCAGCTATCAGTAGTTATCCAATGTTAAACCCAACCCATCAAAATTTTATTTCTTAGGATTTAATTTTATTTGTGTGTACTGGGGTAGATACAGTTAATGAATGCCTTAAAAGGCTCCTAAGAGGATAGTTAATTAATATTGAAAAACATTGGTTTAGAATATCCTCCAACAGATATTTTAAAATATTACCTCACTTCCTTTGGGGTTTTTTGGAGTGCATTGGCGTGATCTCGGCTCACTGCAACCTCTGCCTCCAGAGTTCAAGGATTCTCCTGCCTCAGCCTCCCAAGTAGCTGGGATTACAGGTACCTGCCACCATGCCCAGCTATTTTTTTTTTATTTTTAGTAGAGACGGGGTTTCCACCATGTTGGCCAGACTGGTCTCGAACTCCTGACCTCGTGATTTGCTCACCTCGGCCTCCCAAAGTGCTGGGATTATAGGCGTGAGCCACCATGCCCGGCTTCCTTTGTTTTTTTTTACTTAGAAGTCACCTTCTCAATGGAGCCTTCCCTGGCCACACAGTCTGAAGTTTCAAAACTTGCTCTTCTTTCCACCTACCAGTTGCCAACAATTAAATTCCCCTTTCTCTGATTTTTTTTTTATCCTTAACATTTATCACAGTGTAATCTACTTTATATTTTATTTATTTGTTTACTGTTGGTCTCTTCAACTAGAATATATTTTCCACTGGAGGTAAGCTCTTGCCTGCTTCAATTACTACTGTATCCCCAGTGCCTACAGCAGTCTTTTATATGACAGGTACCTAGGGTGTATCTATGAATGAATGATTTAAACAACTAGACAGAAATAAAACATGTCTAATATGTAGTGAGTTTACTGAAAATAGCTAAAATACTAATAGCATCAATAAATTGAATCAGGGGTCCTTTCACTAATAAAAATATGAACAATATATTGCAAACAAAAAGAAAGTTTTTTCTTAATTGGTAAAATAGTCACATTAAAGACTTTATTTCATTTAAGCCTTGATTTCACATAAACTACAAGAAATCAAAATATTTGTGTAAAGAAATAAGGGAAGCGTCCTTATTTTGACTTTATCATCTTCATTTGTAAGCATATATGTATACTTATATATGTAGATATAAAACATGTATTAATATACAAAGTCAAATACATAATTATAGAACTTAAATTTTCCATTTTAAATGAAAGTGATTATTAGATGCATAAGACTTTCCTGATGGACTCATAGAGACACAATCGGTTCATAGGCAATTGTTTAGCTTGGCTTTCACCACATTCTGAAGTTCACAATATCATGCATCAAAAACGTATTGAAACATCGAAGAACTGGCAATACCAGGCACTCATTGTTATATAGCAGCAATAGCATGAAGCTGAATAGCTGCTGCAACATTTGGAAGAATTTTATGTTCCCCAGTTTGCTGCAGTATGTGTAATCTGCAGGCTCTTCCCTTCTGGACAACTGCTGAAATGCTCTCTCTTTTTGTTTCTCCCCATGATTCTCTCATCACTAGGTTGTGTTTTCATTACTTCCTCTTATCAAGTATCCTGTCACCCTTGTACTTCATTTTGTTTTTATTTTTATTTTTTGGCACATCTTGCTACTCCAGTAGACCAATCTATTTGGTCACAGCCCTTGTAGCCAGATCTTCTGCTCTAAATTTTTGCCTCTAAAATGATTCCTGGCTATCATTTATTTCTTATTTATTTATTTATTATTTATTTAAATAGAGATGAACTCTTCCTGTGTTGCCCAGGCAGTCTCAAATTCCAGGGCTCAAAAGATCCACCTGCCTCGACCTTCCAAAGTGCTGGGATTATAGGTATGAACCACGGTACCCCTAGCTGTGATTTATAATCAAGAGCTTGCTTCAAGCATGGCATGTTCCACCATTTATTTTTACAATTTTTCTGTCAATTATGCTGCATCAAGCAAGCCCTATATTACAAAAATGATGCCAAATCAACAATGTCCCCAATAGCAATTATGTCTGAAGTACTGATTTTTCATTGAGGATAATCTTGTATCATCATTACTGTATCTTATCACCCTGATTAGATAAAACTGTTTAAGTAAAAGACTTCTATTTTATGTATTTGGGGCAATAAAGATATGAGAAGAAATTTAAAAAATAATAAGTTAAAAAATAAAATTTGCCAAATCCCAAGATTATTCCAGAATAAACTAAAAAGTAGATGCATTTCTTGAAAAACTCACTTAAAAACACGAAAGAATAAAGTTCAAAAGGCTAGTCCAAAAAAACCAATATTAAGATGGAAAGTGGGGCCTATAAGATATATAAAATAATCATAACAGAATTCTGCAAGTCTAGACTATTTTGGGAAAGAAATGTACATTTGTCTATTATCAAAACATAGAAGCTCCATCATCAAGTCCCGTGTAAAAATAAACATTCATTGGATTTTCAGATTTTATTTTAAAGTTTGCAATGTATATATAAAATCATATTGCCAATCCTTTATAAACCCATACCCAACATAAAATATGTGAGTTGCTGATTTGGTAGTTCATTTTTCCCTGGGTATAACAAATGTCTCTTGCAAAAAATAGTTAATATTTGCTGACCTAAAAGCAAACCTTATGATTTGTTTTGCATTTTACAAGTTTTAGCTCACCTAGAATTGTCTAGATTTCTGGGGAGCTTGTTTTGCGTTCGGCAAATCTTCTCAGGGAGGTTCAATCACACCCATTCTTCTAAACCTTTACAATCTGATTAGATTATCTTCCCTCTCTCTTGTAAAGATTTAAGTAAATGCCCTTTTAAGCTCAATCATTAAAGTAGAAATAGTTTAAATTACACATGGTCACAATACTAACCACAGATAAGAAGAGTTTCAGGAGAGATTCAAAATAATACAACAAAATATCAGGAGTTTAATTCTTAGGGAAATTATCAGAAAAGCTTATCTTCTCTCACCTGAACTGATAATATAATACTGATTACACTGATTTAAAGATGTAAGGAATGATGATAGAATATTAACTACACATAAAATAGAAGAAGTGTGTATTTGATTTGGTTTTTAATCGAGTCTGGTTCTTCAACACCTCTGTAAATAAAACAGGTTGGGATAAAAGGTTAATTGTTATTTATAAAATATTTTACAGTTTTCTTGTGTATTTGCTATGCTATTAAGGGAGAAATTTTAAATAAACACTTAACCATCATATTAATCTGAAAATATTACATATTTGTTGCTACTTTAGAAGGAAAACATTCTTATCTGCGATTTAAAAATGAAAAAGGACTTTTTAGATAAATATTTATTAGCAGACTTTAAAATATTCAAGCAGAATTCAATTTTCTGCTTTGCGCTTTCCAGTTACATAACCTTGGTTTCTTAAATTATGTAATTTTTCTAAGCCTCAATTCCTACATATAAAGAATCTGTGATAAGCCCAGTGTCTGACCTAGAGCAAGTATTCCATAAATGGTAGATTTTTGTTTCCAAGAGCTTTAGAATAATGTGTTTAATGGTGTCCAGTAACCAAAGAAGAACATTGCATTAGTTTTCTTTCTTTCTCTTTATAAAATTAGTATTACTTTTGAGACAGTGTTTAGCTCTGTTGCCAAGGCTGAAGTACAGTGGCGTGAACACTGCTAACTGCAGCCTCGAACTTCTGAGGGGGCTTGACCTTCTGGGCTGAAGCCATCCTCCTGCCTCCACTTCCTAAGTAGCTGAGACCACAGGTGCCTGCCACTGTGCCCATTTTTTAATTGTTTTGTAGAGACGCCATCTTGCCATGTTGCTCACTCTGGCCTCAAACTCCTGGGCACAAGCAGTTGTCTCACTTTGGCCTCTCAAAGTGCTGGGATTAGAGGTGTGAGCTACCACACCTGGCTTAAATTTGAATATCTGCAACATCTCTGTATCATTGAGAATTGTGTTGAGGTGCATGTAACTGGTATCTGACAATGGTAGTGTAAAGTAATTAGGGGCTCATTTCCCCCATGTGATTATAAGTTTGTTTCCCAGGATTGGTGCGGCCACTGAAGGAAATATTCAAAGAATGCAATCCAGTGATAGTGACAGAAGATGCAAGAAAGAACAATTTACCCTGTATCTTGAACTGTATGTCCCAGCATGTCCTCCATCATTGACCTTATGGAAAAAAAAACAATCTCTATTTAGTGTCTTTTAATTTTTATGACATTTAACTTCCACCTTCTTGAATGTACGTATCTTAGTAGGAAAACTATATTGTTTTGCTTTCCTATTCAATTGGTGCAATTAAAATGGTGTCACCAGTTACAAATATAGTTAACATGAGTATGAGCAGAAGGTCAAAATAATAAATGTCACTGGATTGTATGTTGTGACAGAGGACCAGAGAGTCAACACTGGCAAGAGTGAAGGCAACAAATCTGTGCTGCAATCGTTGCTAAGCAATTTGAAACTGCTTTTCACCCTACCAACTAAGAGAAATAAAGAAGAACACGGACTAAATCGGTAGATACTTACCAAATGCCAGGACTAGTGTTGATGTGTTCCTGCAAAATACAAAAATGACATTTAGCTGTGATTGGGACTACCCCATGCTTGAGTTTGTGCTATTCCACTATCATCTGCCATGATCGCCCTGTTTGTGCATAGGACATACTGATGACTGGAGATACGATCGTGGCCACTCTGCTTCCTTCTTCGAATCTTTACTGGGTGTAATAATTTCTGCAATTCCTCATGACATAGGGCATTACACCTGATTAGTGACTTGGCTGGAAGGACAATTTAGGGGCTTTTGCTTGACCTTTCCTACCATAAGAGCCCTTAAATCCTAAGTTAGCAGAATCAACATAAATTTTATTTCAGGTGCTGAATATACCATTGCAGTTATATATTTATAACTGCAGTGAACCAGGAAAATAACCAAGCAGTTGTTTCAGGAATCCATGAGACTCATTAGGAGATTAATTTTCATCCCAGCTCTATTTATCACCTGAACCTCATGAACCCTGGTTCTAATGAGAGGCTCCTGATGGCTCCTTGAGTTCCATGGTTTCAATTGCAGCTGAGATGTACGGCTCATTATATGAAAGGCAACCTACAACACCCAAAGGTTCCCACCTCTTGATACATACATTTTGTGCAATCTCTTATCTTAAGTCTCCTTTCTTAAGCCTCTTAAATGAGCCTCTTTACTCATTTCTCATGAACAGAATACCGCAAAAGTGATGTGATTAGCTTTTGAGATTAGGTAGCAAAGAATTTGTGGCTTACATCTTAGATGCCTGCTCATACCCTCTTGCTTGGTCACTATAAAGTAATTAAGTTACCATATTTTTTAGTTGCCCTATGTAAAGGCCTGCATAAAAAGAACTTAGATAAGTTTCTGAAACAGTCAGCAAGGAACTGAATTCCACAGTACAAAAGCCCACACAACATAAAATCCTGTCAACAACTACGGGAGAAATGGTTGTGTATTTCTCTGACTGCTTGCATGGTGTTTCATTAAATATTTAACGACCAGAATTGTGCACATAGTTACAGAATGAATCATAGTTGATATTTTTATTTATATTTTGGTTATACTAACAAGTAAGACAAAAATAAAACAACAAAGATACATGTGATATCTTCTTGCACTCTTTACTAGCATTTTTGCTAAGTTTGACAATAGTTTTAAAATATTCAAATAGTTCCTCAAGTATTTTTGTGTTCTTTACAATTTAAAAAATAACAAGATACTTTAAAAATTTAATATACATTAACATTTTTTATCACTTAAATATAGACATAAGTGTAGACAGTCAACATAATAACAAATCGAGAAGTGATTTGTACCATTTGTGGTGTTCTCTCACTCTGGCTGATTTCAAGCTACCAATTTCACTGATCATAAAGTTGAAAAGTTATATTTAGTACCACAATACTTTTTAGTATTTCTGCATCACCTGAACAATAGAGATATCAATAATCTCTAAAGCTTAGATAATATCAAAATGAAATAAATTCTTAGAAAGTATAGGTTTTGAATATTAGTTTTTTTGAGGTTAATATTATTTTGATGTAGGTTTATATAATTAAACTTTTAATATTGCTTTAGTTTTACAATTGTCTCACGTAATTTCTGAAATTTTATGTTGCTGTCAATCCACAGAAGCAAGTGAACCTTCAGCCAAAATTTAGTTCCGATGTCAAGACTGATGATGTCATACATACCAAGAGGGTATGAAAAGTTTATTATACACATAATGAGGCTTTCTGGGAAGAGTAGGGCAGATTCCCAAGCAGGCGTAAAACAAGCTTAAGAGAACAGGGAAAGAAGATTGGTTTGGCTGGCTTTTTTGTTGTTACAGGCTTGGGGTAGGGTGAGAATTGCCTTACACAGTTCAAGGATTACATTGCTTGAATTTCTTTCCAATGCCAATGAAGAGAGCATCCAAAACTTTTTCTCAGCTTACCCAGATGTGGAACAGAAAAGGGTAGTTGGTGAGGCCTGAAAGCTGTCAGCAATGACACATCAAAATAATGTCAGACTCTTGAAAATCAGTTTTCATGGTCTATTATGCGCCAGCTCCAGGACACCACAGCTTGTGTATGAATTGGCAAGATTACGCAGATTGTCCAAAATCAAAGATATGTTTTGAATCTGTCCAATTATCATTAAAACTTTTGCTCTACAGGCTGAATTTCAAAGTAATTATTCAACAACCTAAAGTTCAATTAATTTTATTCCTTTTTTGCAACCAAAATTTCACAGTTTTTCTTTAAGAGTCTAAGTTTTCTATAAATACCTCAAAAATATAAAGTAGCTTTTGTGTTCTGGGGTAAGAAAATATTCTAGCAGTGTCAGCATAATGATTCAACAAAAGTTTTCAGATTCATATGGTTATTTCCATAAGCTTAGACTAGCATTTAAAAAAATAAAACAACTTCTTGGTTTGCCTTCGAAGCTATCAATTTATTTAATTGTTTTAAGCATGAAAGTTGGTTCATGTATAGTAAGTTAAAATGTAAATTAAACTTGAACCTGAAAATGCAAATATTAAACTTCTTATGTGAGATTTATTTTTAAATCATATGTTGTTGATCAAGTTCAACTTACATAAATATTATTCAAATATATTTTCCATTATATATTGATTATGGCCAACTTATTTTAACTTGATTTGCATGATACAGAAATAATATATTTAGTCAACCAAATAGTTTATTAGAGTACAGGTTGGATTAATATTATTTTTTAAAGGGCAATACATCATATTAAATACAAAAGCTTTGGATTATGGTAATTAAATTATGACAGCTACATTAATTGCAACTTATATTAATATGACATTTATTATACAGAAAAATAAAGAACAAGGAGCCACAATAAAGTAATTCACAGAAGTTGTCTTTTAATTAAGACAATATTTATTGAAATTCTAGAGAAACATAAAAAAACAGAATTTAGAGTAGTTAAAAACATGAAAGGATTTTTTCCTAGAGACCAATGTTTTAGCATGCCGTGTTTAACATCTATCTTCCCAAATTAAATTAATATAATCTTTTTGTGTGTGTGTAAGAGGGAATCTTACTCTCACACAGGCTGGAGTGCAGTGGCGTGATCTCAGTTCACTGCAATCTCTGCCTCCCAGGTTCAAGCGATCCTCCCGCCTCACCTTCCTTATTAGCTGGGACTACATGCATGTGCCACCACGTCCAGCTAATTTTTGTATTTTCAGTAGAAACAGGGTTTCACCATGTTGGCCAGGCTGGTCTTGAACTCCTGACCTAAGGTGATCTTCCCGCTTTGGCCTCCCAAAGTATTGGGATTACAGAGGTGAGCCACTGTGCCCGGCCCAGTCATTGTCTTCTAAGGTTAAGCTCAGAAAAGACTTAGAGACATGGGAGATGAGAGATTTGGGGATAAGTGAAAGCACATAAACATTCCCAATATTTAATAAATATAAAAAAATTTTTATTCTTAATTTCAGAAATGCATTTTTCTATCTTCTTCCCCTACCTCTAAAACATATGCTTATTTGACTGTTAGTAACAATATTTCCAAAAGTGTTAGCTTATTTGTTTATTTCTCTATTAAGAAATTATCTCAAACATTGCCTTCAAAATAATATCTATATTCTTAATCAACTGTATTCTAGGGTATCCTCGACATGTACTTAAATCCACTTGCTAATTGCAATCATGTTTACTTTCCCTTTGTAAATTATATTTAGATTAATTTTTTTCTATCATTGTTAACTATGAGCTAATAATATTCTGTAAGTTAATTAAAGTCATTTTATTGGTTGAATGTCATTGCAGGCCATAAATTACCAGAAATGTAATTTATATATCTCTCTCTCTCTCTCTTAAAAACAGTAGTGTTTATATGATACTACTTACACTCACAATAGCAATAATGCATACTTACGATATATCTGCTGATCATTAGTAAACAATTGGATTCATGGTCAGAAAACTAATAATTTACTTTTCATATTACTTTTCGGTATAATGCCAGAAAAAATTACACAATATTAACTAAAAATATGCATCATTATGCATGAATTCCATACATAGATAATAAATACGGAAGATTTAAGCCTTATCAAATTTGGCAACTTAATTTTTTTTTGCTTTTTATGGACGTTAGAGTACTTGAATACTTTTATGAAAATACAGGAAACATATAAAAATATTACTTTAGCAAATAGGCCCATAAATTATAATATATATAACAATTTTGTGTAACATAACCTCCAAGGATCTATAAACCAATGATATTTACCTGGAAATAATTGAGAATTATAAAAATTTAAATAAATTCTGTCACTGTTCCAAGGTTTATGCAAGAAGGGAAATCTTTATTTCTGTGGCAAATCATCTTCCTTGCTGCCAATAAAATTATCAAGTGTGAAGAGTAACTAGATTATATTTGAATATGTTAAAAATATTCAGATAGACAAAATTAAATCGTATGTTTGCATATGTCTAAATTATTGTTAAGAAATTCAGTATATAAACTCCAAAGAGTGAGAAAATTTCTCCTGTGAGACAGAAAAAAAAAATACTCTTTTGAAATTTACCTCATTTAAATTCCACTAGATTAAAGGATGGTTTTAAATCAAACATGTATAAATATGTAATCAACTCTCTTTTAACTCCCCATGTTCCTCACATATTTTCAAGTGATTTAATCAATACTTGGCTAGATGACAGATGTTAACATCAATGAACAATATGGTGTTATTAGTATCTGCAAATAGACAACAGAATAATAAAAATTCCATACTGAGTACCAATTTCTTAAATTCTAACTTTATAGTTGCTAACTTTGAAGAGGAGTTATTAAAGGTAACATTTTGTTTTAAAACTCACTATACAAAATGATTTTTTAAAATACAGCATTCATGTTTTTAAAAATGAAAATGTTTATGAGCAGTCATGATACAAAATATGGAGGATTTAATTATTCATGGGTGTAATCATATTGGTACTAAAATAATGTACCCCAACAATCTGAAATCTAATATAAATATATTGTGAATGCCTTGGCACTTCCTTAAAGTACCTAGGAAAAAGCTTCAACATGATAAACATTTTTTAGAGCTGTGTGTTGGAAATAGAGGATCCGATGTTAGCATAGTACTTTGGTTAGGAAAGTAACAACCCTGAGTATATTATTGGGGCATAAGTATATGTAAACAGTTTATTCTCTCACTTACTGTTCCTGCTGAAACAGGCACTGGAGCCCAAATAGAAAAATATTTTTTGGAAAAGATTTTCTTGTGTATGTGACCTAATTTGTAAGTATGAACTGTTCAATAAAGGACAGTATGTGATTTATTTTTCCCCTTAAGCAAACTGTCCCTTAAATTTTTATAAATCTCAAATTTCCACAAATGTAAGTTCATGTCTGAGAGCACAACCATCATTCTAAACATTGTCACAAATCAAATTTATTAAATCACATTTTTCTTTCCTACCCAATTGGAAGAACTGAAGACATGAAAAACTTGATTTTCTTTCCAGTGAACTTTGAAAGTGAAGTGGAGAGGAAAAAAAATGTTCTTGGCTCTTTTTCTGGAGTTGAAATATCTCCTATGCACAGCTTATACTCTGTCTCTCCACATGAATCTTATATTCCATCTAAACTCTTCTCTTGAAAAGTAATTTGCAACTATTTTGTCCTTAAGACACTATAATAGGTATGGAATGTTTTAAGATTTATAGTGTCTACGTGAAAGACTTAACACATCCAGAGAGTCAATATTGCCAGATACAAAGAATACTTGAGACCCAAGGACCTGACCTAACCCAACATGATCCATGGGAAAATGGAATTATTTCGTTAAACAGCCATATATAATCACTTAACATTTGGAGATAGTAATTTCTAGTATTTAAAAAATTAACTATCATTTTACTTTAAAACAATAGACTTTTATTTAATTAGATTTCTCAATATCCCTTGAAGAGAGATTTTTTTGTTTTCCTCTATTCAAATACTAAGGAATACACAATCACAGTGAGTTTGTTCTTATCGAAACTTAATTCACTTGCCTTTATGAAAGAATAATCTCACCATGTCCCTTTCTTGTAATGGGGTTTAGGACATGCTACCCCCAAAATCACACTTTGGCTTTTAGGAAAACAGCAGAGGCAGGAAGGTCATGCTCTGACCTTCTCTTGCCCTTCTCTCCTGAAGAAAGTCATAAAAGAATTCTAGGCCCTTTCCCCAGAGTAGGTCATTAAGACTTTCATTCTAGATGTACTCTTTCTATACATGGGGAGAAAGAACATCCTTATTCTCGAAGACACTATGATGCCTGTCTCTATGTCCTTCTATGCCCTCATTAAAATGACAGAACTAGGCCAGGTGTGGTGGCTCACACCTGTAATCCCAGTACTTAGGGAGGCCAAGGCGGGTGGATCACAAGATCAGGAGATGGAGACCACTCCGGCCAACATGGTGAAACCCCATCTCTACTAAAAATACAAAAATTAACTGGTCATGGTGGTGCACTCCTGTAATCCCAGCTACTTGGGAGACTGAGGCAGGAAAATCACTTGAACCCAGGAGGCAGAGGTAGCATGAGCGGAGATCGTGCCACTGCACTCCAGCCTGGGTGACAAGAGCAAACCTCCATCTCAAAAAAAAAAAAAAAATATATATATATATATATATATAAATATATATATATATATATATATAAATATATATATATATATAAAAATATATATATATATATATATCAGAACTAAATCCTTTACTGGTTAGGAAGGTTTAACTGATTTCTTGGAGAGAGAAAGATAAAATGTCTGTCTGTTGATGGTTAAAAGAGAAGCAAGTCAGCAGCAGCAAAGAATATATATGTGGGGTTTGCAACTTACAAAAAAGCATGTTAGCAATCCAGGCAAATTCTAAACTCACAGGCAGGAACGATATGGGATCGGAACAGTGGAGTTAAATGAAAGTTCATATGCACAGCAATTGCATCCCTCATTGTCCCAAATGCTCTCCCCTAATGAATCCTAATCCTTACTCAGAGTGAATTAGAATGCACAACTCATATCGCCAGAATTAAAGAAAAAATTAAAACAAGACTATTCTCTAAAGAAAGTAAAATAAATGACTCTGTGAAACTTAGAATTTCAGGGTACAATATATTGTATCAACAGACTGTTATTTCTTTCCTGTCATTCCCTCAAAATGGGTTTATTCCCTCAAAATGGATTTATTGGTCTTTCCCGAAAGGTTATAAACCTTTTCAAATAACAATTTTATATGTTTTGTTATTTTTTCTAAGCTCAAAACCTTTTCTTCTGTTTTATTTTTAAATTTTCTTCTGTTTTTTGTTATTAATCTTGTTCATTTGCTTTCTGATGTATATATTAAGCATGCATCATTTTCTAACATCAATTCTACATAGTCTAAAGACTTTATCTCTATATCCTTATTTTCTCAATGTAGAATTGCTTCTCAGATTTACCCTTTACATTGCTACATTTTCTAATGTTGCCAATTTTCTTCTATATTGTTTTTAACATTATTTTAATTTGGCCTTTTCTTTTGCTTTTATGCAATTTGTTGTCTTCTTATTCATTTCTACTTTATCTTCTTTTGTTTCCTTTTTATTTCAACCTAACCTATATTCCTTAATTTTTACTAATATTTCATGGAAATCTTCTTTACAAACTTTTCTGGCCCTAGGTTTTACAAAGTACATTTTTGAGGTTCAAATTTTCTGAATCTTGTAATACTTTATTAAATTTATCTACAATATTCGAATACTTTTTCCCTCCTTTCTTTTATACCCCTTCATCCCTTCATTCCTTGCTTCCTTTTTTTCCCCTCATTTTCTTCCTTTCTTCCCTCCTTCCTTTTTACTTTAATTTGCCCTAACATGAAAATGCTCTGTATTGATCAGGGTGTTAAGGAACAAAGGAGTGCAGGTTATTCTTGGTCCTTAGTAGTAGATCAATTACTTCCTTGATTCCTGTAGCAAGAGATCAGTGATTGCACCACATTTTGTCAAATTTGTATGTGATATATTCACATATGATCACATCTTGAGATGTGCTTGAGATGAAGCACGTACAGATTAGTACCCCCAAAGCCCTCTGCTAACAGGACCATTTACGTCAATATCCAGAGCTTATGGTCATTACATACCTCAGGATGTAGCCTCAACTATCAAAAACCTTTTACTCTCTGCCCAGTGGTTTTCTGAAAACCTTAATAATAGCATGAATTATTTGTTGGTAAAGACACTGGCTGAATGAGAAAAAGTAAAGCATGGTATTAGTCTTTTCTCCTGTTGCTATAAAGAATTACCTGAGACCGGATAATTTATAAAGAAAAGAGGTTTAATTGGCTCACAGTTCCACACGACCTACAGGAAGCAAGGCTGGGGAAGCCTCAGGAAACTTTCAATCATGGAGGAAGGTGAAGGGGAAGCAAGAACATCTTAGATGGCAAGAGCAGGAGGAAGAGACAGAAGGGGAAGGTGCTACACACTTTTAAACAACCAGATCTCATGATAACTCACGCACTCTCAGAACAGCAAGGGGACCTCCCACCAGGCCCCTTCTCTAACTTTGGAGATTACAATTCAACATGAGATTGGGGTGGGGACACAGATCCAAACCATATCAAGCATGATGAAGGATAAATGGTCTACCTCTCTACAGGCAGATGATCAAGAATAGACCAATAGTCATGTTTATTAATTTCATCAGTTTGTGCAGGTCTTAAAATTTCATGTGAGTTTAAACATTTGCTGTTAGAATGTTTTAATAGTTTGCATGAGTATTTTCTTGTAAGATGTAAACAAATCTATACCAAGAGTTTGTTGTTAAGTGCTATTTTAAAACAGATTCTTTGAATATAATTTTAATTGGGAAATGCATCTGCCAAAATAACCAAATATTTAAACCCTTTAGCTAACACATTATCTTCTTAAGCTAATGTATGTTGCAATCTAAACAAAAATTTAGAACATTGCTTAATGGTGAGAATTTTGGAACTCTTGACACATTATTCCCTCCAAACCCATACAATAAGAGACTTGAACAAACTTCAGCGCAGTTTCTAACAGCTTAAAGTCATATACTCAAGATTACCTTAGTCCCCTTTTAAATGCTTGGCTAATACAGTGTTGTGTTGCCAAGATAATTTACTTTTTGTTTCAGCCAAAACCTGGTGATAGGCAGATAGGTTCCCAAACTCCTCTTCAGAGTAGTTTCTTTAGTAACTTTGCAATTATAAGTCCTTTGCCTTTTAAGATGCAAATCTACCACCCAGAACTGCTTCCTCCATGGCCTGTGAACTTATTTGAAATGCAAACATTTAGAGAGAAAACTCTCCTTCTCCAGTTCCTGTGGGAGAATAGGGTCTAACTTCAGTGGGGTCCATGCTCACTCTTGCACCACGGCCTCATGGGATAAAAATAGAGAAGTTTGTTCTTCCTCTGACAAGCACCATTTAGCAAACCCAAAGGACCTATTCACATGTCCAACAAACCCCCCTGCTATCTCTAGTTCTTTTCCCCAAGTACACTCCAACCTTTAAAAATTATCCTGCCTATAGTTATGGTAAATTTGAATTCACTTCATTCTGGATTCCCTTTCTTATTAGAATGGGTATCACTAAATAAAATCTGTCCCTAAGGATTTAACTACTGTCCAGCTTTGTTTATCATTGACAGTGAACATGAATTTAATTATAACCAAGTAAGTTTTCTTGGTAAAGTGACTCACTTATAGGTATATATCTGTATATATCTCATGAAAAAAGGTCAAGAGGCAGGAGGACTGATATTTTGTCTGTTTCTCCTTTACTTAAGAACTATATTAATGACTTTCCTTACCCAAAACTTTTCCTTATATATGTTAATGTTTGCTCATCTCATTTTCAGAAATGCAAATAAAGCTTAACTTCTATTTAGGGGACACAAACCGAAATATCTTCTTCACCCAAGAACCATGAATTTATAATTTAGTACTTAGGTTGAAAAATTAAAGATAGATTGACTCACTTTCTTGTGATTTACTTAATTCAATTATCAGAGTTCTAAGTTATACCAGTATGTTCTCTTTGATTCACTGTTAGTGATTTGAACATCTGAATGATAGAAGTTGAAATATTAAGTGTAATTTACCTTGTTTCTTCTTTATCCTTAATACAGCCAAAAAACTGTGTTGCACAACTTTATACATTTGTCAACCTAAAGGAAGAAACTGAGGCAAAATTAATACAAGTATAGAGTTTATTTGGGACATGCTTGAGGAATGTTACCTGGGAGAATAGATTCAAATTGCCCAGAATATAATGATACACTCCAATTAGCAACAGTTACAAGTAGATTTTTTTTTCTTTTTCTTTTCTTTCTTTCTTTCTTTCTTTCTTTCTTTCTTTCTTTCTTTCTTTCTTTCTTTCTTTCTTTCTTTCTTTCTTTCTTTCTCTTTCTCTCTCTCTCTTTTCTTTTTCTTTTTTGAGACAAGGTCACATTCTGTCATCCAGGCTGGAGTGCAGTGGTACAATCATAGCTCACTGCAGCCTTGAACTCCTGGGATCAGGCAATTCTCCCACATCAGCCTCCCAAGTAGCTGAGATTATAGGTGTGCAACACAACACTCAGCTAATTAAAAAAAAAAAAAATTAAAAACTGATTCTTGTTATGTTGAACAAGTTTGTCTTGAACTCCGAGGATCTGGCAATCCTTCCAGGCAGGTTTTTAAAGTGAAAGAAGAGGCAGTTTGTAAGTTGTTATATTAAACTAACATAACCTATTGATTGGCTCTACATTGTTCTTTGTATTACACATTCCAGGAGTATGAAGTTAATGGGTGAGGCAGCTAGTCAGTAACAAAATGATTTAAACTGTAGCAGGACGAGCCGCAGACAAAACCTCTCAGACACCGAGTTGTAGAAGGAAGGGCTTTATTCAGCTGGGAGCATCAGCAAGCTACTGCCTTAAAATCTGAGCTCCCTGAGTGCAAAATTTCTGTCCATTTTAAGGGCTCACAACACTAAAGATTTCACATGAAAGGGTCGTGATTGATTTGAGCAAGCAGGGGGTACATGACAGGGGCTGCATGCACTGGTGGTCAGAGAGAAACAGAACAGGGCAGGGAGTTTCACAAAGTTCTTCTATACAATGTCTGGAATCTATGAATAACATCAGTTTATAAGTTATAAGTTGATTTTTAACTACTGGGTTTAGGCCAGGCAGGCCCAGGCCTGGTTTCGGGCCTGGCGCCGGGCTGTCTGTCTTTGGTTTTACTTCTTTGTTGTTTTTTGTTAAAACAGGTACTGTATATAAAACAATATAAAATAACATGAGAGAGTCTTTCTCTTCCTTCAAAACAATTGCCCTAGACGTGGGTGCAGGAGGAGTGTGGCATGACTGAAGTCCCGTACTTATCTTTCTGGGCCTGCATGCTTCAAAGAGCTCAGAATGCTTGTGATACAGTTTTTCTTTCTCATTTCCCCCCTGTTGATCAAAAATCTCCCCATGAAAACATTGAGGATCCATTTCTGCATAGTCCTACATTCCTTGGCACTTGGAAGGCTCATTCTAAGATAGTTGTCAGTAAAGTCACTGATTCATGTAACTGCTATCACTTGTTGAATCATCACTTATCTTCAGAATTTCATGCTTTTCATTATCTGAGAGGGAAAACAATGAGGGATATATTGCATCTATTACACTAGAGATTTAGTCAAGATTTTAGCAAAATAATAAAAACTCAAAAACAATGGTCAGGGCTGGAAATCTAATAATAGATGCTATAATTTTCTTCTGAAACAATTTTTCTCTCTCCAGTTCCCCATTTCTACCAAAGATAAACCTTAGTAGCACAAATTACTTGCAAAATAAGTTTTAGTTATATACTTGGCCTGATTATTCATATGACGTTCAACAGGAATTTTTACTGACCATATAGACTCTTTTAAGTTAGCTTTGATGGAATTTTCATATGGAATTTTGGATTAGACTTTTAAAAGCCTCAAGGCTGGTAAGTGACAGTCACTATTAGACTGTACCTATGATACTTGAACAAATTGGGTGAATTCTTCTCTTCTCAATCTCCCCCAAATATTTTAGGTCCCTTTGCCTGTTCAAAAGTAACGTTCTTTACTTCCTACAAGGTCACAAACCTTGAAAGGGATGTGTACAGACAAGATACCAGGCGAGTCTTTCCAAGAGACTTTTTATTTGCTCTATAAAGTCAACCTCAATTCCTCAAAGCAGGCTGCTCGTATTGGAAAATGTGTCATTCAAGTCAAAGCCTTGGTAAAATAGCCAGTGTTTCCAATTTTGTCCTGTTCTTACAGAACTCATGTTTGCCATAAAATAAGATACTCATGAATAGTTTCCAAATTTTGGAGAAATCAGAGAGAAATGCAAATATTTTAATTTTGCTCACATGGGTATATTTTACACAATTTCTATATGCTATAAAGAGCTCAAAAAGTTTTCTTTAGAAAACAAAATGTTCAAAGACTCAGTAATGTTTCAAACAAAAAGTCAAAAATATTATTTCAGTTGTTTATCATCTCAGTTTGATGTAATTAATTGTTGTTTTGCTTGATGTTAGGTTAGCAATCTTCATGAACACATAAAGTTTAGTAGAGTTTGGAAAGTTTTGACTTAGTCCGATAATGTAACCTCCAAAGTCATCAGAAACCTCTATTCAAGAGTACTTGTCGTCTGGGAGCGGTGGCTCACGCCTGTAATCCCAGCACTTTGGGAGGCCAAGGTGAGTGAATCACATGAGGTCAGTAGTTTGAGACCAGACTGACTAACATGGAGAAACCTCGTCTCTACTAAAAATAAAAAATTAGCTGGGCGTAGTGGCACATGCCTGTAATCCCAGCTACTCAGGATGCTGAGGCAGGAGAATCGTTTGAACCTGGGAGGTGGAGGTTGCAGTGAGATGAGATCACACCATTGCACTCCAGCCTGGGCGATAGAGTGAGACTCCATCTAAAAAACAAACAAAAAAAAAAGAGTAATTATTTCTCAGGATACTTTCCCATGAATATCCTTGAAGTAAAAGCAAATTTTGGACTGTAGCCAATTATAAACCAATTTTTGAGAAGTCTCAAAGTAAAACAATAATTATCTGTGAAATAGAAGGCTTAGGGGACAATGTTAAAAATGCAAATGACAAGAAAATTTGGTTATTTCTATATTCATACAACAGCCAAAAATAATAATCATAATTATTACTGATAAGTCATATTAAGACATATGAGAATTTTAGGAATCTGATGCTATTTTGGAATCCATATTAATAACACATTTATACAAATATAATTCAAAAAAGTTAAACACCATTTCTTTTTTTTTTTTATTATTATACTTCAAGTTTTAGGGTACATGTGCACAATGTGCAGGTTAGTTACCTATGTATACATGTGACATGCTGGTGCACTGCACCCACTAACTCGTCATCTAGCATTAGGTATATCTCCCAATGCTATCCCTGCCCGCTTCCCCTACCCCACAACAGTCCCCAGAGTGTGATGTTCCCCCTCCTGTGTCCATGTGTTCCCATTGTTCAATTCCCACCTATGAGTGAGAATATGCGGTGTTTAAACACCATTTCTTCTTTGATGATAAGCTCCTCTATGTTTTTAACATAACAAATAAGGAAAGTATCTCAAATATTATATTAAAGTTTCTTTTTTTCTTTTTTCCTATTTTTTTCTCTCTTTTTTTTTTTTTTTAATTGTAGTTGAGTTCTCCCTCTGTTGCCCAGCTAGTCTCAAACTCTTCAGCTCAAGCAATCATCCCACCTCAGCCTCTTAAAGTATCGGAATTACAGGTGTGTGTCACTGTGCCCAGACCAAATTTTAAAGTTTTAAAATACTTAATCAATATAGTATTACGTATTACTGTAAAATAATCATCAATGATTCAGACAAAATGATAATTTAAAGATTTCAGAAAGCAAATCTTTTACTCTTTGGTAGAGAGGAAAGTCAGCTATCCACGTAATCAAACAACCTGATAAAGACAACATGAGACTAACAGAATCTGTCTTCCCTCTTTTATTTTTATTTTTTGCAGATTACTCAAAAGGTGAACTCAAGTCTTTTATTATGTCTTATTAACATGATATGAAAATCTTGTTTAAAAGAGAAAACCAAAATTAATCTTTTCATCAGTATATTGTTAATGATAAAGCTAATTTGAATAAAACCTTACAAACAAATCAATCTAATCTTGAACAGTTTTGACCACAGACGATAAGATTTCCATAAGTTTTTCAAAATCTCTAACATTTTCTATTAAAGAGCAGATCAATGCTTTTAGAAAATTCTGTGATTCCTACACAGGGATCCAGACTCTGGACTGGCATCAGTGTCCCTTGATATTGATGCTCAATTTTAGAGAAACTAATCTCATTTTACCCAACTTGATCACACACAAGATTTCTTTCACACGATTAATCTTCCACAAACCTTCTTCAACTTACTCAGACCTTTAGTTTTGTCCTATAATCC
This sequence comes from Homo sapiens, assembly GCF_000001405.40. Lineage (NCBI taxonomy): Eukaryota > Metazoa > Chordata > Mammalia > Primates > Hominidae > Homo > Homo sapiens. The sequence continues at coordinate 215,898 of NW_003571036.1, forward strand.
TTTTTTTATATTGGCACTCTACCTTAGGGCAAAAATTTAGTTTCTTTTCCTCCTTATCCTTTTGACAACACAAAGTTCCTTGTCATGCAAAAGAAAAAAAAAATTGCTCTCTTTTCACCTTTCTTTAGATCTTACTTTCTTTATAGCTCTGCATATAACATTATTTCTCTTATACTGGTTTTTATTACATACATTAACTACAACTTTAACTCTTAGTAACCCTAATTTTTAGTGAAAAAAACTAGGAAGTAAGTGATTTTGAATGGTTTTATACCAGTATTTATAGGTAAAAAATTGCATAATTTTTAAAAATATGTTTTCTCAATTTTTGTTTATGAACAGATCTAAATTTTTATCTAGCTTTTTTTATACCATATACAACATGTCTCAATATATTAAAAAAATCACAATTTTATCAAGCATCTTCTTAGACTGAAGCAGAATAAAATTAGAAATAAATACTGACAAGAACTGGTGAAACTCCACAAGTACATGGAAACTAAACAGCCTTATTTTAAATGATTCTTGGGTAAACAACAAAATTAAGGGAGAAAAAGTATAATAATAATAAAAAAAAACTTTTTAAGCAATTGAATGTGAAACATAACATACCAAAATCTGGGGGTTACAGCAAAAGCAATGCTAAGAGGGAAGTTATAGCATTAAATGCCTACATTAAAAAAGGAGAAAGATCACAAATTAACAACCTAATGTTGCACCTCAAGGAAATATAAACAAAAGAACTATGAAAAAAAAAAAAAAGAATAAACCACACCCAAAGCTAGCAGAAGAAAAGAAATAGCAAAAATCAGAGCAGAATTTGATGAGACTGAGACCAAAAAAAAAGATACAAAGAATCAATGAAATAAAAATGTGCTTTGTGGAAAGGATAAACAAAATTGATAGACTCCTACCTAGTTTAACTAAGAAAAAAGAGAGACAATTCAAATAAGCACAATCAGCAATGATAAAGGTGACATTATAGCTGATACCACAGAAAGACAAAAGATCCTCATAAGTTACTACGACCATCTCTATGTGCACAAACTAGAAAATGTAGAGGAAATGGTTAAGTTCTTAGAAACATACAACTTGCAAGATTGAAACAGGAAGAAATAGAAAATCCTGAGCAGACCAATCATAAGTAATGAAAGTGAATCAGTAACAGAAAATCTTTCAGCAAAATAAGTCCAAGACAAGAGAGATTCACAATTGAATTTTATCAAACCTACAGATTAAAGCTGGTACCAATCTTATTGACATTATTGGAAGAAATTGAGAAGGACTGATTTCTCCCTAACTCATTCTATGAAGCCAGTATCACCCTGATATCAAAATCAGGCAAGGACACAACAACAACAACAGTTTGGGCCTGTATTGCTAATGAACTAAGATGCAAAAATCCTCAGCAAAATGCTAGCAAACTAAATCCAACTTTGCATCCCAAAGATAATTTGCCATGATCAATGGACTTTATTCTAGGCATGCAAAGAATGGTTGAACATTTAAAATCAATAACTATAATTCAATATATAAGAAGAATTAAAAATGAAAAAATATGATCATTTTAATAGATCCAAAAAAAGCACTTGATAAAATCCAACATCCCTTTATGATAAAACTCTCAAAAAAATAGGCATCAAAGGATCATAACTGAAAATAATGAGAACCATGTAACAAAAACCCATAGCCAATATTGTACAGAATGGTAAAAAGTTGAAAGCATTCCCTCTAAGAACTGGGACAAAACAGGGATGTCTACTGTCACCACTCCTATTCAACATAATACTGGAAGTCCTAAGAGAGCAATCAGGCAAGAGAAATAAAGGGCATCCAAATAGAAAAAGAAGAAATCAAAATATCTATCTTTGCTGACAATCCTAAAGATTCTGCCAAAAGGCTCCTAGAATTAATAAATGACTTCAGCAAAATTTTAGGATACAAAATCAATGTACAAAAGTCAGTAGCATTTTTAGACATCAACAAAATTCAGGCTGATAGTGAAATCAAGAACACAATCCCACTCACAATAGCCAATTTTTTTTTTAAATACCTGGGAATACATTTAACCAAGGAGATGAAATGTCTTTAGGAGGAAAACCACAAAACACTGGTGAAAGAAAGTATGGATGACAGAAACAAATAGAAAAACTGTCCATGTTCATAGACTGGAAGAATGAATATCATTCAAGTGACCATACTCCACAAAGCAATCTCAAGATTCAACAAAATTCCTATCAAATCACTAATATCATTCATCACAGAATTAGAAAAAAACACTACTAAAGATCATATGAAATCAAAAAAGAGCCCGAATAGCCAAAGCAATCCCAAGCAAAAAGACAAAGTAGAAGGCACCACATTACCTGACTTCAGATTATACTACAAGACTACTATGGCTAAAACAACATGGTGCTAATACAAAAATAGACACACAGAATAATGGAACAGAATAGAGAATCTAGAAATAAAGCCACATACCTACCACCAACCAATCATTAGCAAAGTCAACAAAATTTAACAATGGGAAAGAACACCCTATTTAATAAACAGTGCTGGATAATTAGCTAGCCATAGGCAGAAGAATGAAACTGGACCCCTATCTCTCCCCACATACAAAAATTAACTCAAGACAGATTAAATAAAATATAATATCTGAAACTATAAAGTCTTAGATAAAAACCTAGTAAAAACTCTTCTGGACATTGGCTAAGGCAAGTAATTTATGACTAACACTCCCAAAACCAATACAACAAACAAAAAATAGACAAATGACACTTAATTAAACTGAAAGACTCTACATAGCTAAAGAAAAAAACAGAGTAAAGATACAATCTACAGAATGGGAGAAGATTATGCCAATTGTGTCTCCAAAAAAAAAAGACTAATATCTAGAATCTACAAAGAACTGAAACAAAACTCAACAAGAAAAAATCGGATAACTCCATTAAAAAGTAGGCAAAGGACATGAAAAGATATTTCTCAAAAGAAAACAAACAAATGACCAACAAACATGAAAAACTGTTCAAAATCACTAATCGCCAGAGAAATGAAAATTAAAAACCACAAGGAGATATCATTCTATACCAGTTAGAATGACTACCATCAAAAAGTCAAAAACAACAATGTTGGCATGGAATTAGAAAAAAAGGAATTCTTATACATTCTTCTTGGGACTGTAAATTAGCAAAAACTGTATGGACACCAGTATAGATATTCCTCAAAAAACTAAAAATGGAGCTACCATTCAACCTAGCAATCTCATTACTGGGCATCTACCCAAAGGAAAGGATATCATTATATTAAAAAGATACCTGCACTCATATGTTTATTACAGCATTATTCACAATAGCAAAATCATGGAGTCAACCTCAGTGTTCATCACCTGTGGACTGAATAAAGAAAATGTGGTATATAACCACCATGGAATACAATGCACCTGCAAAAAGAATGAAATTATGTCCTCTGCAGTAACATGAATGGAGCTGTAAGTCTTTATCATAGGTGAAATAATTCAGAAACAGGAAGTCAAATACCACATGTTTTTACCAATAAGTGGGAGATAAACATAAACAATGGGTACACATGGACTTAAGGATGGAAATAATAGACACTGGGGACTTGAAAAGGAAGCAGGCTGGGAGGGAGGGTGAGTGTTTAAAAATTACCTATTGGTTACCATGTTCACTATTTAGGTGATGGGTATACTAGAAGCTCTAATCTCACCATTACACAATTTATCTGTATGAGATATCTGCATATGTACCTCCTAAATCTAAAATTTTTAAACAAAGGAAAAGAAAATAAGAGAAGAGCTGCCTACCCTATACTTCCCAAAAAAAGACCTGTAAAGGGGACCTAGGGCATGGGGGAGGGAGTGTTACTTGAGAAACACTTTCTGCAATGTCAAATGAGGAAAATTAGAAACCTGAAAGAAAGGTTCTGGAAGCAGCATGTGCCATGAAGAGGAAACCCCACCCTTTGCCTTTTCAAGTTTCTGAGTTCTTTTCAAGTGATTGGTAATTCATCCATTATTAGAACATTGTGCAAGCTCAGAGAAACATCTTTGTGAAGAACTTTTAATGGTGTCAAAAAATAGTAAATGCAGTATGAAGCAAAAAAAGAAAGCTCAGAAGAGGCATTTTCTAAACTGTTTACCAGAATTTACATTAAAGTAACAAATTATTAACTTGCTAAACATTTGTTTCTTTTATCATAAATTGTAGGAACATGGAGATAATTGATGAGGCTGCTGGTCAGGAACAAAATGACATTAAACAATTGCCCTCAGGCATGAAGGGGGATGAATGACGTCTCATACTTGTGTGTCTCTGGGCCTGCACATCTCACAGAGCTCAGACTTCTCGGAGTTATTTCTCTTGTCAACAAAAACAATGGAATAGCTGTCTGCCTCAAAATCAATTGATCAGACACATGCACACACACATACACAAACATACACACACAACTTTTCTTTTCCTCCCCTTTTTTATTGTATGTCAAGTTTATTAAAATGTTACTGTTTGAAAGGTATTTCCTTAGTTATTACAGTTATTCATCTTAAAAATATAATGCTTGTATTAAAAAGAACTCATCTAATGCAAGAGCTAAATGTGGGAAAAGCATTTGTGAAATAGAAAGGTAATCAGAAATAGAAAAAAGGTATATAACAAAATGTGATGAAAACAAGTTTTCACTTTTTCTTAGGGTGGGATACAGGGATAGAGGATGGGAAGAAATTGTATCTTCTCATGTAAGTCTCAACTATTATTAAAATAATTGTTATGTTGTTATAAAAAGAAATGTTACATAGCCTAAAAGGTATTAAACAAAGAAATGGGCAAGTTCTCTATTGATTCTATATCTTAAATTGCAATAAAAATGTTCAAAGAAACTATCTTTTAAGTCACAATTTTAATGTTTGTAAAGAACACACCCATAAATATAAAAATTATATTCTGTTATGAGCAAATGGGAAACATTTTATCACCATTTTTAGGAAATGGCTTTTTTTAAATTATATACGAACTAACTATATTTGTATCTAGTTCCAGGTATATGAGAAAAGGATATGGAGAAAAATTATTACTATACTTTTTTACTGTTATTTTATATTCTTTATTAGATGAGTTTATAGAAATGTACTTGGGAATTACCTAACTTCTCCAGTTGAGAGTAGCTGAAAATTCTAATTTTTGAAGTTTTATAAGGCATTAAGTAAAGAAATCAGATATAATACTATAGTACTAATTCAAATAAATCACAGCTTCATTTAGAATTTTATTCCTTTTAGTATTTTAATGGTTTTATTACAATATTTTGAACATGTACAGTTGATAATTTTCCTTCTGTTCCTTATAATTAATAGTAAATAATGGAGAAACTCATAATCTTTAATGTTTACTCACTTTGGTCAACTTTATTAGCATATTTGGTATTTTCATCATTTTATTGTGTGTTATAAAAATGTATTAATAAATTATATGAATTGGTTTCCAGTAAGAAATCTGTATATCAATAATAACAAAGAAGTATATAATAACAACAAAGATAAACAAAAATAACATGCATTTGTATTTTAAAAATGTATACCAATGCTAAAACAACTCTTTTTTTCATTCTTTCTAACACACACTCCAATAAAAAACCTGAGTGCTTAATGCTATATGTACTCATGAAATATTTTTTTAAAGTTACTTTCAAGAATGTCTTTTGCCCACCATGTTTTTCAACTGGCTTAAGTCACTATTCAACAAATATAGACTGCTTGGGAAGAGATACACATAATGGGTAACAGTCATGATTGGAGTCTTGTTATTGTAGGAATGATAAGGCTGTGGAAGAAAGCTATATCTAGGGGCTAAAGCTATAAAAAAGGACCAAGTATTATTTTTGTCTTTAGAGGCGAGTTTCTGTTCTAGCACAGGCTGTGGAAATGTAGTATTAGGAGTTAAAACCGAACTCTGAAATATTATGCTGGCTCAAGTCATAAAAGTTATTTTAGCATAGCTTATGTAATTAGGTCTCAGTTTAATTAATGTCAATGCAGAAAAAGAAAAAAAAATAGCTACATTTATTTCAACCTCACCTAAATGATTCAGAGGAATTTAACCTTCAAAATGATTGATTGTGCCCTAGTTTTAAAGAAGAGTGGATGGCTGAAGATGCTTTTTAAGTAAAATTATCTAGTCTAAAGCTCTCCAATGTAGCTGCAAGCTGCAATGGAGAAAGCTAGGTAAATCTCTGGAGAGGATGGATTAAAATGTTTTTAAAACTTAAAAATCTTGCATTTTAAGAATAATACCAAAAGAAGCTGCCATTTGTGGGGTCAGGCAGGTGAGTGTCATGACTCAGTTTGATGTCCAGCATCTAGAGAAGATTTTAAGCATGTCAACGTGTCTTCTACTAGAGGAAACCACACCGGAAATATAAATATCACTGAGTAAAGTCAATTTGCCTAGACACTCTCTGGATGGCTCCTGAAAATTATTGTTTTTTAGGGCAAACTCCCTTGGCATCCTTTTGGTCTTTCCATTTTAGACCGTGAAGAATACATGGGATTTAGAATTTAACTTTTTATCATTGCCTAGTATGGCATTTTTTCTTTCTCAGAGGACACAACAGTCCCTTAAAAAAGGTGAGTGAAATAGGATTTGCTGTGGTTTTTATATGGTCTGATTGTTCCCAGTATAAGCCATGTTGAAATTCCATCCCCAATGTGGCAGTGTTGGGAGGTGAGGCCTAGAGGAAGGTGTTTGAGTCATGAAGGTGGATCCCTCATGAATGGCTTGGTGCTGATCCTGTGGAGCAAGTGAGTCCTAAATCTCACAAGAAAAGATTGGTTCTCACAAAAATGGATTATTTCATTTGACAGCAGGTTGTTATAAAGTGAGGTTCCTCCTGTTCTGTTTGGTTATCTCACTTCACACTGGTCAGCTTCCCCTTTGACCTTTCTTGCTATGTTATGACACAGCAGGAGAGCCTTCTCCAGAAGCCAGAGCCATGCTCTTGATCTTTTCAACCAGCAGAACAGTAGGCTAAAAATCCTTTTTTCTTTATAAATTACCTAGTTGCAGGTTTTCTGCTGGAGCAACACAAAAAAGACTAAGACAATAAGAAAATGTACTCTTTTTTTTTTCTCTCTCTCTGCTTTAGAAAATAATACAACATTTTGGCCAAGCACAGTGGCTCACGCCTGTAATCCCAGCCCTTTGGGAGCCTGAGGCGGGTGGATCACGAGGTCAGGAGATCGAGACCATCCTGGCCAACATGTGAAACTCGTCTCTACTAAAAATACAAAAAAAAAAAAATTAGCCGGGCGTGATGGCTTGCGCCTGTAGTCCCAGCTACTCAGGAGGCTAAGGCTGGAGAATCACTTCAAACCGGAAGGCAGAGGTTGCAGTGAGCCAAGATCTCGCCATTGCACTCCAACCTAGGCAACAGAGTGAGACTCTGCCTCAAAAAAAAAAAAAGAAAAAAAAAAGAAAATAATACAACATTTTTACTACCTTCATGAAAGCAGAAAATCATCAAAGGATTGCAAAGAGGATAGCAGGTATGTTGCATGTGAAATAAAGAATTGGATGAGGTGGCTAGATTAGACTAGAACCCCAAAGAGACTAAGTCTTTTCTCCTGCCTGACTCTCAGGCTTTAAATCCAAGATTCAGAAGAAAGAATGTTACTCAGGAAACATATGCTGTCAGGAAAGTTTGAGACCTGCTGCTGTCTATCTTGATGCTTTTACTATAGAGCCAGCCTCAGCCACAATATATCCTCCAGTGGCCATTCATCTTAGCTCAGGGCACCCCATCCTCCATCACCAAAGGACCTGATTCAGAACAGATCCCCTGTCTATGCTTTGCAAATTAAAATAACACATTGTTTGTTCCAATATTTTCAAAGCTCTTGGTTAGCAGATATTGTCTGTGACCTTTTAAGACTTTGATATTCCTCTCAGAGGTATAAATTTATTTTCTCTGAGCTGTAAATTTATTTTCAGATGTTGCAAAGTAACAACAATATATCAAAACAATACCTGTCTGTAAAATAAAAAAAAAAAATAGGACAGACAGAAGTGAACAAAATAAAACAAAACAAACACATTAAAAATCCCCACAAAATCCACCAGTTCTTGAAGACAGATCCATTGTCTACATAAAATTGATCATAGACTTAAGTCATTTTCCTGATAATTGGAACAGATGTACCCATGATCAGTCTAAAAGGAGGGTCAGAAAGACCTGGACCAAGAGGTACAGGATGTACGAGTGCAATTCTATTATCATCCCTCCTCTCTTGTGCCTCCTTCACATTTTATCAAATTTTCTTACAGTTCGATGATTGCCCTTCTGTTAAATAAACTTGAAATAGAGTTTAGCCTTTATAGGTATTTAAAATTCATCTTGATTTTATTTCATGATAAGTTAAGGTTAACTTATACCTTAAAATGGAAATCAATAATGACAGCAATAGTAAGATTTTAAACAAAGGTCACACATAACTATACAGTTAAAATTATGACTATATCAACTGGTTTTGAGTATGCATAAATCATTCATACCACAGAATTAACCACGCATGTATGGAAGAGCATGTTTTATTAAAACACCTAATTATTTAATGTTTTAAATAAAACAGTTTCATTGTCACATTTTACAGATCCTAAATCTGATTGCCATTATTGCAGTTTGCAGATAATAGCAGTAACTGACAAAGCTAAAAATCAGAAGTCAGCTGTCATAGACTAATTTGATGACAATGTAGAGAAAAATATGCTCAGATGGAATGTAGATCAATGTACATAAATATGATTTTGTACACAAAATAAAGTGTTTTGAAGATTATCTTTGTGTATATATTAGTGTTCCTGTATAATCAAACATATTTAGTGTACTAGAAAGTACATACAGCAAGTCTTAAGTCTTAAGGATTAGTAGAGAAAAAGAAAAGTACACCTTGGTGTTAATTTTTTTTTTTCTCTTGAGACAGAGTTTCACTCTGTTGCCTAGGCTGGAGTGCAGTGGTGTGATCTTGGCTCACTGCATCCTCCGCCTCCTGGTTTTAAGTGACTCTCCTGCCTCCCCTCTGGAGTAGCTGGAACTACAGGTGTGCATCACCATGCCTGGCTAATTTTTGTATTTTTGGTAGACATGGGGTTTCACTATATTGGCCAGGCACAATTTTTTAGTATATAAATTTTGCGAGTTCAAACTACCATTTTAACAGTGTTTTCAAGACTTCAGTGAAAATTGAAAGAAAAGTTTTTATATTTCAAGATGAATTTAATTATAAAATCGAGTTACTTCCATACAACCTTTAATTGGAAGTGATTTCCAATGTAACGACATGATAAAAAGCCAATATTAGAACAACAACCTAATAGAAGTCTATAAATATGCTCAATTAAAAGCATATGCTTCTTGATTGATACCAACATTTGACAGTAGTTATCTCTATGAGGAGAGATTTTCATAGAAAAAATAAAAGAAAAAATCTCATCACAGATCACTTCCAATGGATTTTGATGATATGGAACACAAATTTTGAGTTTCAATGAAGCAAAAAGAAAGAAAGAATGTACTAAGCCATTCTTGCATTGCTATAAGTATATATCTGAGACTGGGTAATTTATAAAGAAAAGATATTTAATTGGCTCCCAGTTCTTCAGGCTGTCTGGGAAGCATGATGCTGGCATCTTCTTGGCTTCTAGGGAGGCCTCAGGGAACTTATACTCATGGCAGAAGGCAATCCTGTGGGGACAAGCACTTCACTTGGTGAAAGCAGGGGCAAGAGAGACAGAGAAAGTGCCAAACCCTTTTAAACCACCAGATCTTGCAAGAACTCACTCACTATCGTGAGGACAGCACCAAGAGGATGGTGTTAAAATACTCATGAGAAATCTGCCCCCATGATCCAATTACCTCCCACCAGACTCCACCTTCAACACTTGGAATTACATTTTAATGTGAGATTTGGGCGGAGACACATAGCCAAACTATATCAGAAAGGAAGGAAGAAGGAAGAAAAGAATCTCATCATTCTCATCAGTAGATAAGTATTACAAAAAAATTTATTCAATAGTTCATAGGAACTCATTTTCTCTCTTATATAAAAGGGTATACATGAAATCTTCAAATTTTTTCTCTTGGTCTTCAAAATCTCAACTATCTACTATCTTGTCTTTTGTAGAAAACAGTTCTGATTCTAATTTCTGTACAATTAAAATATAATTTATATTTTTTCTAAAGAATCAAAATATTACAGTTCACAATTACAACAATTTATTTTTCTGGAAACTAATAAAGATACTGTTTTACAGTACAGGCAAATATTCCAAAAAATTTGTCAGGAACATTAAAAACTTTGTCTTACATCAAGTTCTAATATATGCTTGTCTGCCTCTGTTCTTCCTAATCTATCTCCATTTTTATGTCTTTATATACATATATATATAACATATATAGTATTATAAATATTACATAATTAATTTCTTAGATATAAAGCAGTCATACATATATGTACATAGGCATGAATATATAGGTATATATATCATACATACTAATAAAGATATAGGCAGGTGAGAAATAAGCATATGACTACATATGAATGTATGTCTGGGTGTATATATATGTATCTTTTCATATATATGTTTATATATACACAAATATATGAAGAGAAAGAGAGAGATTACTTTTAATTCTGGTTTTAATTTTCTAATTTTTATTTTTAAGATAGATTTTGGCATCCATATTTTATGCTTACTTGTGAAGTTGACATAAAATTATATTTCCTTTTCCTATCTATATTTAATGTTGATACATAAGTAAAATTATATTTTTAATACATTCTTGTGAGAATTCTATCTTTCTCAATTTTCTGGAAGAGATTGTTTGATGTAGGAATGAACAATTTCATAAATATTGTGTAGGAATCCTATGTAAAATTCTCTAAGCTT